>NC_000018.10:14510749-14810799 GCF_000001405.40 Homo sapiens | reverse complement strand
GACAACAAAAATTAATTCAGGCTGTTTTGTACCTCTAGGCAATTAATTACAGTAGCATAAAAAGACACCAAGGCCAAAAGCTTTAGAGTCACACTTCTAAAACAGTGTGTCTAGCAAAGAGTCATCAAGTAGTGATTTTTAAAAATTATATGTCACACACACACACACACTCAGTCACCTAATCAGAAAAACAAGAAACTGATTTTCTTTAGATTCTCAGAATGACAACACTCACAACTGTCACGTCAGCAAGTGAAACTTTCCTCAAAGTAAAGATCAGAATTCCAGTCAGCATTTGAACCACTGAAAATATTTCACAGTTTCAAAATTCACCTGCCGTAAAACTGAGCACGTACAGAAATTGCAAATTGGAAACTTTACACTATCGGGATATTAAAGAAGAACCACATGACGTAAAGCAGAATTTTTTTCTAAATCCCTAATTCTTATGCTTCTAAATGGCATTTTCTCAAACATAAATACTAACATTTGCATTATTTGTATCAAATTTTCCCATCAAATTTTCAAAAGAAAACAACTTTGGGAATAAAAGGCTCTCAGCATTTCAAATAGTTTAATATTCTTAATTCCAGAGTAAAATTTAAATTACAAAGTTTACCTGCTTTTAATGTTTCTCTGTCCTTTAATTCTAAGGCTTTATTTGGAAGAGAAACTTTCCTTACACAGGTAGGCTAAATGGGTTTGGAAACACAAAAATTAATAGATAATGTATACTTCATAAAATATGTAGGTAATATTCAAGATAAAAATATAAAAGTTATTACCTTCAGAAGACCATCTTTATCAGGAGACTCTAAAAGAAAAGGGACATATATAATTGATTATATGCAAGCCTGACAAAGCCTACCAAATGTTCATAGAGTGTGAATATGAAGATGAATCCTCATGCTTGGATTGAAAAGGGATTACACTAGGTTTTGGGGTCTTTTGGGTTATTGTATTTGTTAACATGTCAACTGTAGGAAGACTCCCTGAAACTATTGCTATGGAATGAAAGATGCAATGCTCCTGATTATTGTAAAACAAAATTGCATGCAGGATTGTGTAAAGACAATGCCAGGTTGGACTGCCAGAATGAGCCAACAGCGCGTGATGTGTTTCCCCCTGCAGAGAGCCTGTGAATGGACGTGCAGTCAGGGAGGTTTTGCATCACCAAGATTCCTATCCCAGAAAGGCATATGTTCATAGCTCTGGGAATGGAATGCTACCCTTGTGGAGAGCCTATAAACAGATGCATGGGGGGTGCCTGTCCATATGGATAAGATAGTGCTATGAACGCCCTCATCTCGCCATGGCTCTTCTAGGCCTCTTTAGGGTTAAGGCATACTCCCTTCTGAGAATTTCTGGTCTAACCAGTTGTCTAGCTTCACATTGTGTTTCTATGGATTGTTTCTAACCAGCTTTTGCTGCAACTGTTACTGCTGATTAATATCTTGCTAATCATAGGTTATGGAAAGACTGTGTTTCTTTTTTAAGGCTCTGTTAGAAATTACCGATGCACACACTATATTGTAAATTCTTATCCCTGTGTACTGTATTTCTGCATACAGATGTTAGTTAAAGAATTACTTCATCCCCATGTGACCATCTCACCTCAAAATCAAATGACCCTAAATCCCTCATTAACCCACCCCCACCCTCACTAAACTTAATAGTAAATGCGGGTATATCTAGTGAATTGTTGGCACCACGGGAACACAAGGCTGTGATTCCCCTGGACCCAGCTTTCACTATCTTGTCTGTGTCTATTCTTTCTCAACCTGCCGATCCACCTGGGAACAAAGACAAGGCCCCATTGCATTGCAGGCTGCTGGACAGATATCCACATGAGGCAAAGCTGAATTTTTTTTATCTCTAAATCTTATGCTTCTAAATGACATTTTCTCAAACATAAATACTAACATTTGCATTATTTGTATCAAATTTTCCCACCAAATTTTCTAAAGAAAACAACATTGGGAATAAAAGGCTCTTGGCATTTCAAATAGTTTAATATTCTTAATTCCAGATTAAAATTTAAATTACAAAATTTACCTGCTTTGAGTGTTTCTCTGTCCTTTAATTCTAAGGCTTTATTTGGAAGAGAAACTTTCCTTCCACAGGTAGGCTAAATGGGTTTGGAAACACAAAAATTAATATATAATGTATACTTCAAAAATATGTAGTTAATATTCAACATAGAAATATAAAAGTAATTACCTTCAGAAGACCATCTTTATCAGGAGACTCTAAAAGAAAAGGGACATATATAATTGATTATATGCAAGCCTGACAAAGCCTACCAAGCATTCGTACAATGTGAATATGAAGATGAGTCCTCATGCTTGGATTGAAAAGGGATTACACTAGGTTTTGGGGTCTTTTGGGTTTTTGTATTTGTTAACATGCCAATGGGACAGAAATATACTTAAGAAAATTTAAAAAATAAATTTCATCAAACGTGCTATGAAGATTTCAACAGTCAAAATATATTTCAACTGACAATAACTAAAGTAGAAAAATCCTAATACCAGTAAGATTAATCTGCCGTATAGGGAAAGAAGTTGAATTTATTAAGATGACCAAGTCATGACCCCCCGCCAAAAAAAAAATAAGTCCTAGGTAATGGTAGAATGCTATGACATATTGTTAAGGAAACACATCAGAATCTCTTATGTCAATATACTGCAAGTAGCTATTATGTTCTTCAATTTGTCCTGTAATTTAAGAATTGCAAAGCTCCGATGAGAATTCAAAGGTACAATTTACTTATCATTGCAGAGGATGTTCTAAATTTATCAGCATAAATATCTACTTATAGAATAAAAGTTATGAATATATTTATTTTTGATACTCTGTGATATAGGAGTATTTTTACATTTATGGGGTTCTCTGGTTTAGTCCTCTCAAAATTTCCTGATCCACTTATACAGAAAAGTCAAAGCACACCCATCCACAAACTAATACAGTCCAGGTGCCGTGGCTCATGCCTGTATCTCCAGAACCTTGGAAACCCGAAGAGGGTGGATCTCTCAAGGCCAGGAGTTCCAAAGCAGCCTGGCCAAAATAGCGAAACCCTGTCTCCACAAAAAATACAAAAATCATCCAGGTATGGTGGCACATGCCTGTAACCGCAGCTACTTGGGAGCCGGAGCTGTGAGAATCACTTGAACCCAGGAGGCCCAGGTGGCAGTGAGTCAAGATCATGCCCCTGCACTCCAGCCTGGATGACAGAGCGAGACTCTGTCTCAACAAAAGAAAAAACACCTGATATGAAAGTATCAAAAATTAGATGTCAATTTCCAGAGACTTTTTACATATCATTAACCTGCATATTTCAATGTTAGAATAATGGTTATTGAAAATAACAGTTTTATTGTTCAAGGAATGAATTCTACAATTGCTTTGCTTTGCTAAAACTAATTCTATTTGTTATACCATGCGAGTTGTTAAACCACTGTTATGAAAAAGCTTTTATAGAAAGCTTAGCTTCAAGAAAAAAACAGACATTTCTTTGACATAGAAATATATCTCATTTCCTCAAATAATATGAATACAACATGCTTAATCTCTCATTTTTCTCTACTTTGTTATTTTTCAGTAAGACACACTTTAATATATTTAGACATGTCAAGTATATATGTTGTTTCCTTTGGAGTTGATTGATCAGTAATGAAGACACTTCAGGGGACATAAACTCTCTAAAACACACAAAATTTATGTGCAAGCATTTTAAGGCTAAATATGCATGACCGTGTTGCAGGTATGTGTTTTAGAAAAAAAGTGCTTAAAATTGTATTCAATACACTTTAAATAAAAACCCGCTTTAATTACGATGAGAAGGTCGTTCTCGATTCATTAATATCTTTAAACTTTACTTCTGAAGCACTGAAGAAACCTCAGAAATTCGTATATAGGAAATGATACCATTAATTCATCTGCTTGTTTTAGGTAAAAATATGATAAATGTACATCCTCACTAAGTGCAAAGAAAGCAGAGTGTCATGAGATAGGAAATGAGTATGTAACCAAAATATTTTCCTTTATGAAGAAAATAGCTGGCTTTGACCTTTCTAAGACAAGATAAAAAAGCAAAACACGCAGAGATGAAACATTCAGAGCTATCTCATCATCAACGAACCGTTTATCACTTGGCATTTAGGAATCCTATTTATGGTTGAAAACTCTGGTTCTAAAATGTGATCTGATTATCCCTGAAGTTCAAAATCCATGCAGAGGAAGCAAGCAGGGAAATACTACCTTCGTTATTTTTTTAAATTACTTTCTTTTTATAAAGGGGTACACTGGAGATTTTAAAATCAGGACGGGTCACATGGCATGGCTCTAAAGATTAGTGAGCCACATTTGTAATGGCTATTGAAATGTATGGCTGTGCATCCTTGCATTTTAATTACTTCACTTTTAATTTCTAATATAGCGTGAAGTAGGACATACACTTAAACAAAGGCTTGCTGACATCTGTAATTATTATGATGCTTTTTAGTCACCATGAAGAGAGTCTAATTAAATGTGGTGGAAAGTAAAAATGCACACTATGATTTTTTTTTTCTTTTTTTTTTTTGGCGGTGTCTCGCCCTGTCACCCAGGCTGGAGGGCAGTGTTGAGATCTGGGCTGACTGTAAGCTCCACCTCCCGGGTTCAGGCCATTCTCCTGCCTCAACCTCCTGAGTGGCTGGGACTACAGGCACCCACCGCCACGCCCGGCTAATTTTTTGTATTTTTATTAGAGATGGGGTTTCACCGTGTTAGCCAGGATGGTCTGGATCTCCTGACCTCGTGATCTGCCCGCCTCGGCCTCCCAAAGTGCTGGGATTACAGGCGTGAGTCACCACGCCTGGCCTGAAATCTTTAAATAAATGAAAAACAAGCTAATCGCTGAACAAAAAATAAAAAGTTGCTGTAGAATGACAAGAACATTGTACACCCATTTATATATGATTTTTGCAAAAAATGTTAATGCCAATATGTATACGCTGAGTGATGAGGAGATAAGTGATCTTGAATCAGAGGAGCAAATCATGACACTGAGAAAATAAATGCAAAAGCTGAACGTAGAATGCTACACCATGTGTCTTTAATGCAACACATTATAATAATTTATATCATTACAAATATTCATCATGTTCTTTAATATGTCCTGTCATTGAGAAAGTACACAGTTCGGATGAGAGTTCAGCTGAATGTAGATTTGACATCTCATCAGTGAAAGTGTTATGAATTGATCAGCTTGGATATATACTTGGAGCATAATACTAAATATAAATATTCATTGATTTTCATACCCGTATGCTACAATAGTATCCAACATTTTTGTAATTTCTAGCTTTGCCATCTCAATATTTCTTGATCCACTGATGGAGGAAGATGTACAAACCTCATCAGGAACAGCAAATTTAATTGGCCCTCAATATTGATGTATTTGTTATAAATTTAGTTTCAACAGACTTATTAAATATTAACAAAATTTTCTAGGTTAAAATCAGTAAAATACCTATGAATAACAACAATTTAAGTATTCAAGTCATAAATTCAGAATTATGGTTTTTAAAATTAGTCTGGTTTGGTATATCATGTTATTCGCTAATGAGGTTTTATAAAATGGCAATTTTACCAACACAATTTGCTTCCTTAAAAATAAAGCCAAGGTTCTTACATTCTAGTATGTCTTATTCAAATTGTGAATATCAACAAAATATATACATATATATATATATTTGATGCCTCATAGTAATAAAGAAAATTAATGAGTCACTGAGGTTTAGTCCTATTCTAGTAATCCTCATGATTCCAAAAGTCTCTGGAGCACCCACACTCTAACATTCTGCAGTAAAAATATTCTAAATGCTTCCGAAGTGAGTTCACTCCATTTTCCTTCATACAAAATCCAAAATAATCTAGCTGGCTTCTCTCTTGTCCCCTGCTTCCTGCCTCATAATCTCTCTTCTTTAGCAAAAGTAATCACTAGACTTGTGTTCTTGATTCTTCCCATTCAACACACACTCTTTCCTTTTTCTTTGTATAGAAGTAGTATCTTCCATCTACAATTTCTATTCCATTGCCCCTTTCTTCTTCTCCCCTAACTAAAAACATACTCAAAAATAGGAGCACCATAATGCTTTCTCCTGACCCTTTTCTGTCCTGACCTTCTACCCAATGGCCCTTCTTCCACATTTTTTCCCACAAAGGTCTCTCATCTTGCTACTCAGAGCAAGGTCCAACGACCACCAGCATCAGCATCGCCTGACAACTTACTAAAAATGCAGAATCCCTAGTCGGCTGAATCACAGTGTGAATTGTTAACAAGGTTTTCAGACGGTTTTCTAAAGTTTGAAAACTTACGGTCTATACGGAGTGTATATGACAAATTATATACATGTGTGGCCGTGCATATATGCTTATTCTCAACTATTGCAAATAGAACACAGCTCTCCATGGTCAGCTGCTTCCATCCCTAATGGCTTCCCACCAGTGAGAAAGACAGGAAGAGTCAGAATATTTTTGCTGTAATTCTCTGGTATGTTTTGGCACTGGAAAGTCACTTTATATTCTTCCCAAATTTCTAACCATACCCGATCTTTTCCTAAAGAATCATTTCATTTTACCATCCTCCATTATATAAACCTGCCTCTTGTTCCTTCCCGTCCTCTCTGTACTCTCTGTCTTTCTCGATCTTCATTTCCTCTTTTACTACTTTCTCCTTTCTTATTTTCTCATTTTCCTCAGCTCTTGGAATACCTTGAATTCAAACTAATAATTCAGTTCCTTTCCAGCACTCTCTATGTAGTCTGCTGCCAACACATGATAAGACGTATAACTTATCACCATTTCACTTCTCTTTTTTTCCATGCTTTGCATTCAGGAGGTAATTTTCTTCAGCTATTAGGGGATATCCCTCCTCATCAGTTCAGAGAAACATTTGGTCAAATGACTTTTTAAATAAAATATGGTTCTTACCTTCTAATTTTCCACTTAAGGTATCGAATTCTTTTTGATGTGTAGCCTTGGGTAAACACACATCATTCTGTAAGAGAGTCTCAAGGAAACTCTGTTAAAAGTAATATCAATAAATAATTTCAATGGAGAAATCCCAATAATGAGGAGTATCAAAAGTTCCTAATTAAAATCTTTTCTAAAAACACAGTTTCCTACTTTACAAGGAATTCGACTTAAGAGCAGACATGTGTTGAAACCCAAAACATTCTGATAGAAAACCTCACATAACACTCTCCACATCAACTTACCTTTACGTTCATGAGGCTATTAACTTGGTTACTGAGCAGGAAAAACAAATCACACTCACGAAAGAATTCACTCGTGCATATTTCAGAAAGTAACTCTCTTAAAAATATCTAACTTGTGTTGTAGTCCTCATTAAAAGTAAATACGCCATTTCAAACAAAATACAATACACTTGCTACTAGCCATAACACGTACTGCATTAAACATTTAAAATATTCATGATCATAGATTGTTTAGTGTTAAAAATGATGCATGCCGTGAAGAGAACTTTTAGAGTCTGTCATATAATGCATGCACGGAATGTTTAAAAAGTTGCTTTATTTTGGTAAACAGGGGCTTAAAACAAGCAACATGTTTTTGACAAAATTTATGCTGATAGAAAAAGTGCTTGAAGAGAATGTAAATGCAGTAAGAAAAGAAATTATGTCATGTCTAAATGAAAGCCAACAAATATTAAAGTCTTTTTGTCTGACGACAAATCAGATAAAATCTACTTGTCTACTGACTTCCACCCTTTGCTCTTACCACCAGGCAGCAGCTGCTTGTTTCTAAGAGGTCAGATATTTTCTATGTCTTTCCACAGTTGTGACCTTAAAATACATCACTATTATTTCACACTCATGCTGCTGCAGCTTGACTGCCTGCCACAAAGGGACTCGAGGAGTTCTACTTGTGAAAATAATTTATATTTTTCAAAAGATTACTCAACCAATACTCTTGTTACTGTAGTCCCACAAGGTTTCCTAGTCCTCATGCTCCTCTTTCTCCTGAAATGTTCCCTCAGATCTATACTGAACAATACAGAAATGTCAATACATTCAAGTCCCAGGCATTAACTTTTCAGGTCCCAACTTTTACAATACTGCAGTTTAAACTGTCTCTCTACGAATCCAGTTAGAACTTTTGCACATCTAGATACACCACAGAATCATAAATTTGCCCACAGCTGGACTCAGTGTAATTCTTTTGCTTTTAGACAAACTTGCTTCAGATCCCATGTGAATTTCTAGTGACTTCTAAGCCTTATTTTTTACACTATACCACACCGGCTTCTTAAATTAAGCCTGAAAATTAGCAGAATTTCACTACGAAGCAGTCATCTACTTAGCACATAGATCCTCTATTAAGCGTATTCTGAAAAATATCAAAAATAATTTGGGAGTGACATATGCAGAGGTGAGAAAATAAAGTCTAAGCCTCTGCTTTTATGTTTTTGTATCATGCAATACTAGTATTAAAGAAAATTAATAATACACAGTACCTCAAAATCCCAAGAATTTTCTTCATCATCCTTTTGTTTGGATTCTGATGGGAACATCTGAGCTATAAAAGGTTAATCACAGATACATTCATGAGAACATTTCTCTACTATAAACTTTAAAAACATATATAAATCTACTTTCATTCACGAATCTGCGGTTTTTCCTCTGTAGCCCGTATATTCTTTTTGTTGATTACAATCACTACTTCTATAGTCAATCCGTTAGAAATGAAATCTAAAAAAACGGAAAATTAACATTATATCATTCGTTAGAATGCAGAAAAATAGAAATTTGACTAACTCGTAGAGTTATTTCTTCACAAAGCAGTTACATCCTCTTCTCCCGTGAAACACAGTGTGTCCTATACTTGCTGTTCATTCAGAAAACTTTAATTACCTATCATCTCTCACTTCTTTGTAAATTTTTATTTTCTAGTATTACTTAGTTTGATTGACTCTGCAATCTCTATTACACAGTTCTTCAAAAAAGATGATTTATCAACGAACAAGATTTTTTAGGGATATTAACTTTCTGATGTTAGTAAACTATATGTCCAACACTTTTACATTTCAATATGCCATGACAGTATATTGGGTGTGTTTTGGGTGTCTATATGTTTTAGGAAGATAAGCTTAAAAAACTTTTATTGCATATAAATTAAGAACTGCTTTAATTACAATGACATAGTTCTCCCCTAACTCAACAATGTCTTCAGAGTCAGCTTGTGACAACTAAGAGAAACATCAGAAATGTATAGGAAAAAATAATTGCCCTAAGTAATCTCACATCCCCACATGTTATAGGATAAAATCAAGGCCCACACAAGACTTGAGGAGCTCTCAGGCCAATGAGACAGAAAATGAATTTATACCAAAAATAACGTTCAGCTTTGTTTATCAACCAAAAGTACACATTACAACTCTTTGAATCAGGTTAAAGAAAAAAGCAAACATGCACGACTAAAGCCTAAAAGACTGTATCATCGTTAAAGGTACGTTTATCATTTGACATCCATCAACTGTGTATCTGGTTTTTAAAAGTAAATTTAACATGTAATCTCAGCATCCCTAAAGTTCACATTTCATGCAGAGGGACCAAGAAACTAAAATCATACTTTGGTATGCCACCATTTTCACTCATGTTTAGAAGTGTACCCTGGATCGTTTCAGAGATCTAATGTGTTGCAGTAGCATAGCTCTAATAATCTGTGGGTCGCAGTTGGAATTGTTAGTGGAATGTATGATTGCACAAGGAAATACTTTAAATATTTTAGTTTTAATTTCTCACAACTAAAAAGTCAGTAGATATAACTAACTTAAAGACTCTGAAATTTTCATGTTTTCATTTTTATTTATCAGCATAATAATTGTGTACTTAATGGAATTTTATAAACAATCTGACATTTAAAAAGACAGTTAATTGTGTCCTTTATGGACGTCTCTAAAAATTATAATGCTGATCAAAACAGAATGTTGTCAAAAATTACACTGTACAACCACCTATGCATTAGAAGTTGAAAAAAATTTTATGTATTAAATATGACCACGTACACATGTTGGAAAATGTTTAAACATGCATAAGAATACTTTTAAAAAGTAGTTTAGAATATTGGTTACTTCTAGGCAATAAATGGTACTAGTGTAAAAAGACTCTGGGCCGGGCGCGGTGGCTCACGCCTCTAATCCCAGCACTTTAGGAGGCCGAGGTGGGTGGATTACAAGGTCAGCAGGTCGAGATCATCCTGGCTAACATGGTGAAACCCCGTTTCTACTAAAAATACAAAGAATGAGCCAGGCGTTGTGGTAGGCGTCTGGATTCCCAGCTACTTGGGAGGCCCAGGCAGGAGAATGGCGTGAACCTGGGAGGTGGAGCTTGCAGTGCGCCAAGATCACACCACTGCTCTCCAGCCTGGGCAAGACAACGAGATGGGCGAGACAGCGAGACGCCATATCAAAATTTAAAAAAAAAAGAAAATTTAAGACGTCAAAACAAATTCTACACATAGTCAGAACCACACACATATGTTGTGAATTTATGGTTGTTTGCTTTTTGAGATGGAGTCTCACTCTGTCACTCAGGCTAAAGTGGCACAAGCTTGGCTCACTGCAACTTCTGCCTCATGGGTTCAAGCAATTCTCCTGCCTCAGCCTCCAGAATAGCTGAGATTACGGGCACCCACCACCACAACCGGCTATTGTTTGTTATTTTTAGTAGCGATGGGGTTTCACTGTGTTGACCAGGCTCGTCTGCGACTCCTGACCTTAAGTAATCTGCCCACCTTGGTCTCCTAAATTGCCAGGATTACAGGCATGTGCCACCGTGCACAGCCTGTTGTAACATGATTTAAACATGCATGGGAATGACAACAAAAATTAATTCAGGCTGTTTTGTACCTCTAGGCAATTAATTACAGTAGCATAAAAAGACACCAAGGCCAAAAGCTTTAGAGTCACACTTCTGAAACAGTGTATCTAGCAAAGAATCATCAAGTAATGATTTTTAAAAATTATATGTCACACACACACACACACACTCAGTCACCTAATCAGAAAAACAAGAAACTGATTTTCTTTAGATTCTCAGAGTGACAATGCTCACAACTGTCACCTCAGCAAGTGAAACTTTCCTCAAAGTAAAGATCAGAATTCCAGTCAGCATTTGAAACACTGAAAATATTTCACAGTTTCAAAATTCACCTGCCTTAAAACCGAGCACGTACAGAAATTGCAAATTGGAAACTTTATACTATCGGGATATTAAAGAAGAACCACATGAAGTAAAGCAGAATTTTTTTCTAAATCCCTATTTCTTATGCTTGTAAATGGCATTTTCTCAAACATGAATACTAATGTTGCCATTATTTTATCAAATTTTCCCATCCAATTTTGAAAAGAAAACAACATTGGGAATAAAAAGGTGCTCAGCATTTCAAATAGTTTAATATTCTTAATTCCAGAGTAAAATTAAAATTGCAAAATTTACCTGCTTTGAATGTTTCTCTGTCCTTCAATTCTAAAGCTTTATTTGGAAGAGAAACTTTCCTTCCACAGGTAGGCTAAATGGGTTTGGAAACACAAAAATTAACATATAATGTATACTTCATAAAATATGTAGGTAATATTCAAGATAAAAATATAAAAGTTATTACCTTCAGAAGACCATCATTATCAGGAGACTCTAAAAGAAAAGGGACATATATAATTGATTATATGCAAGCTTGACAAAGCCTACCAAACGTTCATAGAGTGTGAATATGAAGACGAATCCTCATGATGCTTGGATTGAAAAGGGATTACACTAGGTTTTGGGGTCTTTTGGGTTATTGTATTTGTTAACATGCCAACTGTAGGGAGACCCCCTGAAACTGTTGCTATGGAATGAAAGATGCAATGCTCCTGATTATTGTAAATACAAAATTGCATGCAGGATTGTGTAAAGACAATGCCAGGTTGGACTGCCAGAATGAGCCAACAGTGGGTGATGTGCTACCCCCTGCAGAGAGCCTGTGAATGGATGTGCCGTCAGGGAGGTTTCACATCACCAAGGTTCCTATCCCAGAAAGGCATATGTTCATAGCTCTGGGAATGGAATGCTACCCTTGTGGAGAGCCTATAAATGGACGCACGGAGGGGGGTGCCTGTCCATATGGATAAGATAGTGCTATGAACGCCCTCATCTTGCCACGGCTCTTCTAGCCTCTTTAGGGTTAAGGCATACTCCCTTCTGAGAATTTCTGGTCTAACCGGTTGTGTAGCTTCACATCCTGTTTCTATGGATTGTTTGTAACCAGCTTTTGCTGCAACTGTTACTACTGATTAATATCTTGCTAATCATAGGTTATGGAAAGACTGTGTTTCTTTTTTAAGGCTCTGTTAGAAATTACCGATGCACACACTATATTGTAAATTCTTATCCCTGTGTACTGTATTTCTGCATACAGATGTTAGTTAAAGAATTACTTCATCCCCATGTGACCATCTCACCTCATAATCAAATGACCCTAAATCCCTCATTAACCCACCCCCACCCTCACTAAACTTAATAACAAATGCGGGTATATCCAGTGAATTGTTGGCACCACGGGACGACAAGGCGGTGATTCTCCTGGACACAGCTTTCACTATCTTGTCTGTGTCTATTATTTCTCAACCTGCTGATCCACCTGGGAACAAAGACAAGGCCCCGTTGCATTGCAGGCTGCTGGACAGATATCCACATGAGGCAAAGCTGAATTTTTTTATCTCTAAATCTTATGCTTCTAAATGACATTTTCTCAAACATAAATACTAACATTGGCATTATTTGTATCAAATTTTCCCATCAAATTTTCAAAAGAAAACAACATTGGGAATAAAAGGCTCTTGGCATTTCAAATAGTTTAATATTCTTAATTCCAGATTAAAATTTAAATTACAAAATGTACCTGCTTTGAGTGTTTCTCTGTCCTTTAATTCTAAGGCTTTATTTGGAAGAGAAACTTTCCTTCCACAGGTAGGCTAAATGGGTTCGGAAACACAAAAATTAATATATAATGTACACTTCAAAAATATGTAGTTAATATTCAAGATAGAGACATAAAAGCTATTACCTTCAGAAGACCATCTTTATCAGGAGACTCTAAAAGAAAAGGGACATTTATAATTGATTATATGCAAGCCTGACAAAGCCTACCAAACGTTCATACAGTGTGAATATGAAGATGAATCCTCATGCTTGGATTGGAAAGGGATTACACTAGGTTTTGGGGTCCTTTGGGTTATTGTATTTGTTAACATGCCAACTGTAGGGAGACCCCCTGAAACTATTGCTATGGAATAAAAGATGCAATGCTCCTGGTTATTGTAAATACAAAACTGCATGCAGGATTGTGTAAAGACAATGCCAGGTTGGACTGCCAGAATGAGCCAACAGCACGTGATGTGCTTCCCCCTGCAGAGAACCTGTGAATGGATGTGCAGTCAGGGAGGTTTCGCGTCACCAAGATTCCTGTCCCAGAAAGGCATATGTTCATAGCTCTGGGAATGGAATCCTACCCTTGTGGAGAGCCTATAAACAGACGCATGGGGGGGTACCTGTCCATATGGATAAGATAGTGCTATGAATGCCCTCATCTTGCCACGGCTCTTCTAGGCCTCTTTAGGGTTAAGGCATACTCCCTTCTGAGAATTTCTGGTCTACCCAGTTGTCTAGCTTCACATCCTGTTTCTATGGATTGTTTGTAACCAGCTTTTGCTGCAACTGTTACTGCTGATTAATATCTTGCTAATCATAGGTTATGGAAAGTCTGCATTTCTGTTTTAAGGCTTTGTTAGAAATTACCGATGCACACACTATATTGTAAATTCTTATCCCTGTATACTGTATTTCTGCATACAGATGTTAGTTACAGAATTACTTCATCCACATGGGACCATCTCACCTCATAATCAAATGACCCTAAATCCCTCATTAACCCACCCCCACCCTCACTAAACTTAATAATAAATGTGGGTATATCCAGTGAATTGTTGGCACTACGGGACGACAAGGTGGTGATTCCCCTGGACCCAGCTTTCACTATCTTGTCTGTGTCTATTATGTCTCAACCTGCCGATCCACCTGGGAACAAAGACAAGGCCCCATTGTATTGCAGGCTGCTGGACAGATATCCACATGAGGCAAAGCTGAATTTTTTGTTAATCTCTAAATCTTATGCTTGTAAATGGCATTTTCTCAAACATAAATGCTAACATTGGCATTATTTGTTTCAAATTTTCCCACCAAATTTTCAAAAGAAAACAACATTGGGAATAAAAGCCTCTCGGCATTTCAAATAGTTTAATATTCTTAATTACAGATTAAAAGTTAAATTACAAAATTTACCTGCTTTGAATGTTTCTCTGTCCTTTAATTCTAAGGCTTTATTTGGAAGAGAAACTTTCCTTCCACAGGTAGGCTAAATGGGTTTGGAAACACAAAAATTAATACATAATATATGCTTCCTAAAATATGTAGTTAGTATTCAAGATAGCAATATAAAAGTTATTACCTTCAGAAGACCATCTTTAACAGGAGACTCTAAACGTAAAGGGACATATATAATTGATTATATGCAAGCCTGACAAAGCCTACCAAGCATTCGTACAATGTGAATATGAAGATGAATCCTCATGCTTGGATTGAAAAGGGATTACACTAGGTTTTGGGGTCTTTTGGGCTTTTGTATTTGTTAACATGCCAACGGGACAGAAATATACTTAAGAAAACTTAAAAAATAACCTTCATCAAACTTGCTATGGAGATTTTAACAATCAAAATATATTTCAACTGACAATAACTAAATTAGAAAAATCCTAATACCAGTAAGATTAATCTGCCGTATAGGGAAAGAAGTTGAATTTACTAAGATGACCAAGTCATGACCCACCGCCAAAAAAAAAAAAAATAAGTCCTAGGTAACGGAAGAATGCTATGGCATATTGTTAAGGAAACACATCAGAGTCTCTTATGTCAATATACTGCAAGTAGCTATTATGTTCTTCAATTTGTCCTGTAATTTAAGAATTGCAAAGCTGCGATGAGAATTCAAAGGTACAATTTACTTATCATTGCAGAGGATGTTCTAAATTTATCAGCATAAATATCTACTTATAGAATAAAAGTTTATAAATATATTTATTTTTGAACCTCTGTGAAATAGGAGTATTTTTACATTTATGGGGTTCTCTGGTTTAGTCCTCTCAAAATTTCCTGATCCACTTATACAGAAAAGTCAAAGCACACCCATCCACAAACTAATACAGTCCAGGTGGCATGGCTCATGCCTGTAACTCCAGAACCTTGGACGCCTGAAGAGGGCGGATCTCTCAAGGCCAGGAGTTCCAAAGCAGCCTGGCCAAAATAGCGAAACCCTGTCTCCACAAAAAATACAAAAATCATCCAGGTATGGTGGCACATGCCTGTAACCGCAGCTACTTGGGAGCCGGAGCTGTGAGAATCACTTGAACCCAGGAGGCCCAGGTGGCAGTGAGTCAAGATCATGCCCCTGCACTCCAGCCTGGATGACAGAGCGAGACTCTGTCTCAACAAAAGAAAAAACACCTGATATGAAAGTATCAAAAACTAGATGTCAATTTCCAGAGACTTTTTACATATCATTAACCTGCATATTTCAATGTTAGAGTAATGGTTATTGAAAATAACAGTTTTATTGTTCAAGGAATGAATTCTACAATTGCTTTGTTGCTAAAACTAATTCTATTTGTTATACCATGTGAGTTGTTAAGCCACTGTTATGAAAAAGCTTTTATAGAAAGCTTAGCTTCAAGAAAAAACAGACATTTCTTTGAAATAGAAATATATCTCCTTTCATCAAATAATATGAATACAACATGCTTAATCTCTCATTTTTCTCTACTTTGTTATTTTTCAGTAAGACACACTTTAATATATTTAGACATATCAAGTATATATGTTGTTTCCTTTGGAGTTGATTGATCAGTAATGAAGACACTTCAGGGGACATAAACTCTCTAAAACACACACAATTTATGTCCAAGCGATTTAAGGCTAAATATGCATGACCGTGTTGCAGGTATGTGTTTTAGAAAAAAAGTGCTTAAAATTGTATTCAATACACTTTAAATAAAAACCCGCTTTAATTACGATGAGAAGATCGTCCTCGATTCATTAATATCTTTAAACTTTACTTCTGAAGCACTGAAGAAACCTCAGAAATTCATATATAGGAAATGATACCATTAATTCATCTGCTTGTTTTAGGTAAAAATATGATAAATGTACATCCTCACTAAGTGCAAAGAAAGCAGAGTGTCATGAGATAGGAAATGAGTATGTAACCAAAATATTTTCCTTTATGAAGAAAATAGCTGGCTTTGACCTTTCTAAGACAAGATAAAAAAGCAAAACACGCAGAGATGAAACATTCAGAGCTATCTCATCATCAACGAACCGTTTATCACTTGGCATTTAGGAATCCTATTTATGGTTGAAAACTCTGGTTCTAAAATGTGATCTGATTATCCCTGAAGTTCAAAATCCATGCAGAGGAAGCAAGCAGGGAAATACTACCTTCGTTATTTTTTTAAATTACTTTTTTTTATAAAGGGGTACACTGGAGTTTTTTAAAATCAGGACAGGTCACATGGCATGGCTCTAAAGATTAGTGAGCCACATTTGTAATGGCTATTGAAATGTATGGCTGTGCATCCTTGCATTTTAATTACTTCACTTTTAATTTCTAATATAGCGTGAAGTAGGACATACACTTAAACAAAGGCTTGTTGACATCTATAATTATTATGATGCTTTTTAGTCACCATGAAGAGAGTCTAATTAAATGTGGTGGAAAGTAAAAATGCACACTATGATTTTTTTTTTTTCTTTTGTCGGTGTCTCGCCCTGTCGCCCAGGCTGGAGTGCAGTGTTGAGATCTCGGCAGAATACAAGCTCCACCTCCCGGGTTCAGGCCATTCTCCTGCCTCAACCTCCTGAGTGGCTGGGACTACAGGCACCCACCGCCACGCCCGGCTAATTTTTTGTATTTTTATTAGAGATGGGGTTTCACCGTGTTAGCCAGGATGGTCTGGATCTCCTGACCTCGTGATCCGCCCGCCTCGGCCTCCCAAAGTGCTGGGATTACAGGCGTGAGTCACCACGCCTGGCCTGAAATCTTTAAATAAATGAAAAACAAGCTAATCGCTGAACAAAAAATAAAAAGTTGCTGTAGAATGACAAGAACATTGTACACCCATTTATATATGATTTTTGCAAAAAATGTTAATGCCAATATGTATACGCTGAGTGATGAGGAGATAAGTGATCTTGAATCAGAGGAGCAAATCATGACACTGAGAAAATAAATGCAAAAGCTGAACATAGAATGCTACACCATGTGTCTTTAATGCAACACATTATAATAATTTGTATCATTACATTACAAATATTTATCATGTTCTTTAATATGTCCTGTCATTGAGAAAGTACACAGTTCGGATGAGAGTTCAGCTGAATGTAGATTTGACATCTCATCAGTGAAAGTGTTATGAATTGATCAGCTTGGATATATACTTGGAGCATAATACTAAATATAAATATTCATTGATTTTCATACCCGTATGCTACAATAGTATCCAACATTTTTGTAATTTCTAGCTTTGCCATCTCAATATTTCTTGATCAACTCATGGAGGAAGATGTACAAACCTCATCAGGAACAGCAAACTTAATTAGCCCTCAATATTGATGTATTTGTTATAAATTTAGTTGCAACAGACATTAAATATTAACAAAATTTTCTAGGTTAAAATCAGTAAAATACCTATGAATAACAACAATTTAAGTATTCAAGTCATGAATTCAGAATTATGGTTTTTAAAATTAGTCTGGTTTGGTATATCATGTTATTCGCTAATGAGGTTTTATAAAATGGCAATTTTACCAACACAATTTGCTTCCTTAAAAATAAAGCCAAGGTTCTTACATTCTAGTATATCTTATTCAAACTGTGAATATCAACAAAATATATACATATATATATATATATATATTTGATGCCTCATAGTAATAAAGAAAATTAATGAGTCACTGAGGTTTAGTCCAATTCTAGTAATCCTCATGATTCCAAAAGTCTCTGGAGCACCCACACTCTAACATTCTGCAGTGAAAATATTCTAAATGCTTCCGAAGTGAATTCACTCCATTTTCCTTCATACAAAATCCAAAATAATCTAGCTGGCTTCTCTCTTGTCCCCTGCTTCCTGCCTCATAATCTCTCTTCTTTAGCAAAAGTAATCTCTAGACTTGTGCTCTTGTTTCTTCCCATTCAACACACACTCTTTCCTTTTTCTTTGTTTAGCAGTAGTATCTTCCGTCTACAATTTCTATTCCATTGCCCCTTTCTTCTTCTCCCCTAACTAAAAACATACTCAAAAATAGGAGCACCATAATGCTTTCTCCTGACCCTTTTCTGTCCTGACCTTCTACCCAATGGCCCTTCTTCCACATTTTTCCCACAAAGGTCTCTCATCTTGCTACTCAGAGCAAGGTCCTAGGACCACCAGCAATAGCATCACCTGACAACTTACTAAAAATGCAGAATCCCTAGTCGGCTGAATCACAGTGTGAATTGTTAACAAGGTTTTCAGACGGTTTTCTAAAGTTTGAAAACTTATGGTCTATACGGAGTGTATATGACAAATTATATACATGTGTGGCCATGCATATATGCTTATTCTCAACTATTGCAAATAGAACACAGCTCTCCATGGTCAGCTGCTTCCATCCCTAATGGCTTCCCACCAGTGAGAAAGACAGGAAGAGTCAGAATATTTTTGCTGTAATTCTCTGGTATGTTTTGGCATTAGAAAGTCACTTTACATTCTTCCCAAATTTCTAACCATGCCCAATCTTTTCCTAAAGAATCATTTCATTTTACCATCCTCCATTATATAAACCTGCCTCTTGTTCCTTCCCGTCCTCTCTGTACTCTCTGTCTTTCTCGATCTTCATTTCCTCTTTTACTACTTTCTCCTTTCTTATTTTCTCATTTTCCTCAGCTCTTGGAATACCTTGAATTCAAACTAATAATTCAGTTCCTTTTCAGCACTCTCAATATACTCTGTTACCAACACCTGATAAGACGTATAACTTATCACCGTTTCACTTCTCTTTTTTCTGTGCTTTGCATTAAGGAGGTAATTTTCTTCATCTATTAGAGGATATCCTTCCTCATCAGTTTAGATAAATATTTGGTCAAATGACTTTTTAATTAAAAAATGGTTCTTACCTTCTAATTTTCCACTTAAGGTATCGAATTCTTTTTGATGTGTAGCTTTGGGTAAATACACATCCTTCTGTGAAACCGTCTCACAGGGACTCTGTTAAAAGTAATATCAATAAATAATTTCAATGAAAAAATCCTAGTAATGAAGAGTATCAAAATTTTCTAACTAGAATCTTTTTTAAAAACACAATTTCCTAGTTTGCAAACAATTCGACTTAAGAGTACACACGTATAGAAAATCAAAACATTTTGATAGAAATCACCATCAATCCCACAGAAATACAAACTGCCATCAGAGAATACTATAAACACCTCTACACAAATAAACTAGAAAATCTAGAAGAAATGGATAAATTCCTCAACACATACACCCTCCCAAGACTAAACCAGGAATAAGTTGAATCTCTGAATAGACGAATAACAGGATCTGAAATTGTGGCAATAATCAATAGCTTACCAACCAAAAAGAGTCCAGGACCAGATGGATTTACAGCCGAATTCTTCCAGAGGTATAAGGAGGAACTGGTACCATTCGTTCTGAAACTATTCCAATCAATAGAAAAAGAGGGAATCCTCCCTAACTCATTTTATGAGGCCAGCATCATCCTGATACCAAAGCCAGGCAGAGACACAACAAAAAAAAGAGAATTTTAGACCAATATCCCTGATGAACATTGATGCAAAAATCCTCAATAAAATACTGGCAAACCGAATCCAGCAGCACATCAAAAAGCTTATCCACCATGATCAAGTGGGCTTCATCCCTGGGATGCAAGGCTGGTTCAATATACGCAAATCAATAAATGTAATCCAGCATATAAACAGAACCAAAGACAAAAACCACATGATTATCTCAATAGTTGCAGAAAAGGCCTTTGACAAAATTCAACAACCCTTCATGCTAAAAACTCTCAATAAATTAGGTATTGATGGGACGTATCTCAAAGTAATAAGAGCTATCTATGACAAACCCACAGCCAATATCATACTGAATTGGCAAAAACTGGAAGCATTCCCTTTGAAAACTGGCATAAGACAGGGATGCCCTCTCTTAGCACTCCTAATCAACATAGTGTTGTAAGTTCTGGCCAGGGCATTTAGGCAGGAGAAGGAAATAAAGGGTATTCAATTAGGAAAAGAGGAAGTCAAATTGTCCCTATTTGCAGATGACATGATTGTATATCTAGAAAACCCCATTGTCTCAGCCCAAAATCTCCTTAAGCTGATAAGCAGCTTCAGCAAAATCTCAGGATACAAAATCAATGTAAAAAATCACAAGCATTCTTACACACCAATAACAGACAAACAGAGAGCCAAATCATGAGTGAACTCCCATTCACAATTGCTTCAAAGAGAATGAAATATCTAGGAATCCAACTTACAAGGGACATGAAGGACCTCTTCAAGGAGAACTACAAACCACTGCTCAATGAAATAAAAGAGGATACAAACAAATGGAAGAACATTCCATGCTCATGGGTAGGAAGAATGAATATCATGAAAATGGCCATACTGCCCAAGTAATTTATAGATTCAGTGCCATCCCCATTAAGCTACCAATGACTTTCTTCACAGAATTGGAAAAAACTACTTTAAAGTTCATATGTAACCAAAAAAGAGCCTGCATCTCCAAGTCAATCCTAAGCCAAAAGAACAAAGCTGTAGGCATCACAGTACCTGACTTCAAACTATACTACAAGGCTTCAGTGACCAAAACAGCGTGGTACTGGTACCAAAACAGAGATATAGATCAATGGAACAGAACACAGCCCTCAGAAATAATGGTGCATATCTAGAACTATCTGATCTTTGACAAACCTGAGAAAAACAAGCAATGGGGAAAGGATTCCCTATTTAATAAATGGTGCTGGGAAAACTGGCTAGCCATATGGAGAAAGCTGAAACTGGATCCCTTCCTTACACCTTATACAAAAAGTAATTCAAGATGGATTAAAGACTTAAACGTTAGACTTAAAACCATAAAAACCCTAGAAGAAAACCTAGGCATTACCATTCAGGACATAGGCATGGGCAAGGACTTCATGTCTAAAACACCAAAAGCAATGGCAACAAAAGCCAAAATTGACAAATGGGATCTCATTAAACTAAAGAGCTTCTGCACAGCAAAAGAAACTACCATCAGAGTGAACAGGCAACCTACAAAATGGGAGAACATTTTCGCAACCTACTCTTCTGACAAAGGGCTAATATCCAGAATCTACAATGAACTCAAACAAATTTACAAGAATAAAACAACCCCATCAAAAAGTGGGTGAAGGACATGAACAGACACTTCTCAAAAGAAGACATTTATGCATCCAAAAAACACATGAAAAAATGCTCACCATCATTGGCCATCAGAGAAATGCAAATCAAATCACAATGAGATACCATCTCACACCAGTTAGAATGGCAATCATTAAAAAGTCAGGAAACAACAGGTGCTGGAGAGGATGTGGAGAAATAGGAACACTTTTACACTGTTGGTGGGACTGTAAACTAGTTCAACCATTGTGGAAGTCAGTGTGGCGATTCCTCAGGGATCTAGAACTAGAAATAGCATTTGACCCAGTCATCCCATTACTGGGTGTATACCCAAAGGACTATAAATCATGCTGCTATAAAGACACATGCACACATATGTTTATTGTGGCACTATTCACAATAGCAAAGACTTGGAACCAACCCAAATGTCCAACAATGATAGACTGGATTAAGAAAATGTGGCACATATACACCATGGATTACTATGCAGCCATAAAAAATGATGAGTTCATGTCCTTTGTAGGGACATGGATGAAATTGGAAATCATCATTCTCAGTAAACTATTGCAACAACAAAAAACCAAACACCGCATATTCTCACTCATAGGTGGGAATTGAACAATGAGAACACATGGACATGGGAAGGGGAACATCACACTCTGGGGACTGTTGTGGGGTGGGGGGAGCGGGGAGGGATAGCATTAGGAGATATAACTAATGCTAAATGACGAGTTAATGGGTGGAGCACACCAGCATGGCTCACATATACATATGTAACTAAACTGCACATTGTGCACATGTACCCTAAAACTTAAAGTATAATAATAATAAAAGAAAATAAAAGAAAACCTCACATAACTCTCTCTACATCAAGCTTATCTTTACATTCATGTGGCCATTAACTTGGTTACTGAGCAGGAAAAACAAATCATGTTCATGAAAAAATTCACACGTGCATATTTCAAAAAGTATCTCTCTTAAAAATATCTAACTTATATTGTAGTCCTCATCAAAAATAAATGACATTTCAAACAAAATACAATACATTTTCTACTTGCCATGACACATACAGCATTAAACATTTAAAATATTCATGGTCATAGAACTGTTTAGCGTTAAAAATGATGTCTGTCTTGAACTTTTAGAGTCTGTCATATAGTGTATGCACAGAATGCTGAAAAAGCTGCTTTATTTCGGTAAACAGGGGCTTAAAATAAGCAACATGTTTTTGACAAAATTTATGATGATAGAAAAAGTGCTTGAATAGAATGTAAATGCAGTAAGAAAAAAATTATGTCATGTCTAAATGAAAGCAAACAGGTATTAAAGTGTTTTGTCTAATAAAAAATCAGATAAAATCTACCTCTCTATGGACTTCAACCCTTTGCTGTTACCATCAGGCAGCAGCTGCTTGTTTCTAAGAGGTCAGATACTTTCTATGTCTTTCCACAGTTGTGACCTTAAAACACATCACTATTATTTCACGCTCATGCTGCTGCAGCTTCACTGCCATAAAGTGACTCAAGGAGTTCTATTTGTGAAAATATAATTTATATTTTTCAATAGACTGCTCAACCAATACTCTTGTTATTATATTCCCACAAGGTTTCCTATTCCTCATGCTTTTCTTTCTCCTGAAATGTCCCC
This sequence comes from Homo sapiens, assembly GCF_000001405.40. Classification (NCBI taxonomy): domain Eukaryota; kingdom Metazoa; phylum Chordata; class Mammalia; order Primates; family Hominidae; genus Homo; species Homo sapiens. The sequence continues at coordinate 14,787,582 of NC_000018.10, read as the reverse complement.
TCAGATCTATACTGAACAATAAAGATATGTCAATACGTTCAAGTCCCAGGCACTAACTTTTCAGGTCCCAACTTTTGCAATACTGTAGTTTAAAGTGTCTCTCCATGAATCCAGTTAGAACTTTTGTACATCTAGATATAAGACAGAATCATGTATTTGCCCATAGCTGGACTCAGTGTAATTCTTTTGCTTTTAGACAAACGTACTTCAGATCCCATGTGAATTTCTAGTGAATTCTAAGCCTTATTTTTTACACTATACCACACCGGCTTCTTAAATTAATCCTACAAATTCACAGAATTTCACCATGAAGTGGTAATCTACTTAGCACATATATTCTCTATTAAGCGTATTCTGAAAAATATCAAAAAATAATTTGGGGGTGACATATGCAGAGGTGAGAAAATAAAGTCTAAGCATCTGATTTTATGTTTTCATCTCATGCAATACTAATATTTAAAAAAATCAATAACACATAGTACCTCAGAATCCCAAGAATTTTCTTCATCGTCCTTTTGTTTGGATTCTGATGGGAACATCTGAGCTATAAAAGGTTAATCACAGATGTATTCATGAGAACATTTCTCTACTATAAATTTTAAAAACATACACAAGTCTACTTTCATTCACGAATCTGTAGTTTTTCCTCTGTAGCCTGTATATTCTTTTTGTTGATTACAGTGACTACTTCTATAGTCACTCCATCAGAATTGAAACCTAAAAAGTCTGAAAATTAACATTATTTCATTAGAATGAAGAAAAATAGAAATTTGACTAACTTGTATGAGTTATTTCTTCACAAAGCAATCATATCCTCTTCTCCTGTAAAACACAGTATGTCCTATATTTGCTGTTCATTCAGAAAACTTTAATTACCTATCATCTCTCATTTCTTTGTAAATTTTTAGTTTCTAGTGTTACTTAGTTTGATTGACTCAGCAATCTCTATTACACAGCTCTTCAAAAAAGATGATCTATCAATGAATAAAATTTTTTAGGAATATTAACTTTTTGATATTAGTCAACTATATGTCCAACCCTTTTACATTTCAATATGCTATGACAGTGTATTGGGTGTGTTTTGGGTGTGTATATGTTTTAGGATGATAAGCTTAAAAAACTTTTATTGCATATAAATTAAGAACTGCTTTAATTACAACGACACACTGCTTCCCTAATGCAACAATATCTTCAGAGTCAGCTTGTGACACCTTGGAGAAACATCAGAAATGTATAGGAAAAAATAATTGCCTTAAGTAATCTAACGTTCCCACATGTTGTATAGGATAAAATCAAGGCCCACACAAGACTTGAGGAGTTCTCAGGCACATAAGACAGAAAATGAATTTATACCAAAAATAACTTCCAGTTTTCTTTATCAGCAAAAAGTACAAATTACAACTATTTGAGTCAGGTTAAAGAAAAAAGCAAACGTGCACAACTAAAAGTTAAAAGACCGTTTCATCATTAACAGTACATTTATCATTCGACATCTATCAACTCTCTACCTGTTTTTTTTTTTTTTTTTTTTTTTTTTTGAGACGGAGTCTCGCTCTGTCGCCCAGGCCGGACTGCAGACTGCAGTGGCGCAATCTCGGCTCACTGCAAGCTCCGCTTCCTGGGTTCACGCCATTCTCCTGCCTCAGCCTCCCGAGTAGCTGGGACTACAGGCGCCCGCCACCGCACCCGGCTAATTTTTTGTATTTTTAGTAGAGACGGGGTTTCACCTTGTTAGCCAGGATGGTCTCGATCTCCTGACCTCATGATCCACCCGCCTCGGCCTCCCAAATCTACCTGGTTTTCAAAAGTAAATTTAACCTGTGATCTCAGCATCCCTGATGTTCACATTTCATGCAGAGGGTCCAAGAAACTCAGATCATACTTTGGTAAGTCACCATTTTCACTCATTTTCAGAAGCATACCCTGGATCGTTTCAGAGATCTTACGTGTTGCCACACCATAGCTCTAAGAAGCTGTGGGGCACAGTTCAAATTCTTAGTGGAATGTATGATTGCACAAGGAAATATTTTAAATATTTTACTTTTAATTTCTAATAACTAAAAAATTAGCACATAAAACTAACTTTTTAAAGACTTGGAAATCTGCATGTTTTCATTTTTATTTATTACTTATCAGCATAAAAACTGTGCAATTAACTATGCTACTGTCATACAATGGAATTTTATAAACAACCTAATATTTAAAAACACAGTTAATTGTGTCCTTTATGGATGAATCCAAAAATTATAATGCTGATCAAATAAGAATGTTGCTGAACATTACACTGTACAACCATGTATACATTAGAAGTTGAAAAAAATTGTACATATTAAATATGACCATGCACACGTTGTAAAATATTTAAACATGCATAAGAATAGTTTTAAAAAGTAGGTTAGTGTAAAAAGACTCTAAAGCCAAATGCTTCAGAATTACAGTTTTAGGAAAAATGTGTTTATCAAATATTCACAAATAAATGACTAATTACTTTCCTCATCTTTACAAGGTAAAGGTACCACACACATAAACAGACACACACAGGAACACACGCAGACACACACACACACAAACACAAACACACAGAGTTCACTGATCCGAGTTACTGAGTTTCTTAAGATTCCCAAAGTGACAACACCGGAAATGAGGTAATTAATATTAAAACACAAGTGTTATATCAGTAAAAGACTTGATCCCCGAAGTAAACCGTGGAATCTGAATCAAGCTTCAAAGAACTAAAAAAGTTAGAGTTTCAAAATTCACCTTCTTGAATCTTTAAGAAATACAGAAGTTCAAAATAGAAAACATTACAGTTTCGGGATACAAAAGTAGAAACACCTGAGATTAAGGCTACATTTTTTTAAAAAAAATATATTGAAAATTACTGTTCTTGTAATATCAGGTTTTCAAACATAAATACCAGTATTGGCATTATCTAGATCAAATCTTTTCATCAAAGTTAAAAGAAATAAATCATTGGGGATAGAAAGACTATCAAAATGTCCAATATTGAACTATTCATCTTTGCATAGTTAAATTGAAAAATTTACCTGCTCTCAATGTTTGTTCATTCTTCAATTCAAAGGCTTTATTTGGAACAGTCTTTTGCATTTCAACGGCAGGCTAAATGGGTTTGGAAGAAAAATGATCAATAAAGAATGTGTACTTCACAAAGTACATAGTTAATAAGTCATTCAAAATGAAACCATAAAACTAAATACCTTGAAGGCAGATGGCTTCTCAGGAAGCTCTAAAATGCAAAAGAGATTTATCATCAATCATAAGTAAATATGACAAAGCCAACCGAGTGAATGCAGTGATAGTATCTAACTGAGTCCTCTTGGTTGACTTTGAGAATGAATAGTTTAGATTTGGGAAGTTTTCTTTTGGTTTGTTTAGGACACACACATGACAGGAATTCACTGAAGAAAATATAAATATAGGTTTCATAGATCATGCAGTTAAGACCTCAAAAGCGAGATTGTGTTTCACGTGTAAAAAGGGTTGATATGAGAAAATAAATGTCAAACCTGAACATGGAATGCTACACCATATACTTAATGAAACACATTAAAATCATTTATATTATTCTATTCATCATGTTCTTTAATATGGCCTATCTTTGGAAAGGTACATAGTTATGATGAGAGTTCAGCTGAATGTAGAATTGACATCTCATCAGTGAAGTGTTATGAATTGATCAGCTTGGATATATACTTAGGTCATAATACTAAATATAAATATTCACTGTTTTCCATAACCATATGGTGTAATCATATGCCTATATTTCTGTATCCTCCAGTTTATCCATCTGAATGCTTCTTGATCCACTTATGCAAGAAGATGTATAAAACTCATCATGGAAATAATTTATAAGCTTTCAATATTGACATATTTATATAAAAATTAATTGCAATAGATGTATTAAACATAAATAACTTTTTATATTGTTAAGTCACCACAATATTTATTTTAAAAAGCAATCTTATTATTCAAGTATAAATTCAGTATTTTTTTAGTTCCTACAATTTGTCTGATTTGGTGTATCATTAGTCTATAATAAATTTTTTTGGAATGGCAATTTTACCAAAACAACTCACTTTCTTAAAATATAAAGGCAATGTTCTTAGTTTCAAATATATCTCACTTGAATAGCTAACATCAGCAAAATATATATTTGTCATGCCTGATTGTAACATAGAAACCTAATGAGCACTCCTCTTGCTATTCAAAGTGAGCTCCAAGGACCACTGACATCAGCATCGCCTGAGAACTTATTAAAATTTAGAAACTCAATTGTGCTGAATGATACTGTGTATTACCAAGGTATTCAGCTGATTTTTAAATGTTTCATAAGTATTGGTCTATACTGACTGTATATGACAAATTATATAGATGCACACCTATGCATTTTTGTTAATACTCACCTATTGCAAATAAAATACAATTCTGCATGCTCAGATAATTCCATTCCTAATGCCTCCCCAGTAGTGAGAAAGACAGGAAAAGTGAAAAAACTTTAGCAATAATTTTCTGACAAGTTTTGGGACCAGAAGATCATTTTATATTCTTGCCATCTTTCTAAGCATGGTCTATCTTTTCTAAAAAATATTTTATTTTGCCACCTCCATTATATAAACCTGCTTCTTGTTCCTTCATGAACTCCCTGTACTCTCTCTGCCTTCCTTAGTCTTCATTCCCTTTTTACTCCTTTTCCCTTACTTATTTCCTGACTTTCCTCATGTCTTAGAGTATCTTGGATTCAAACAAATAATTCGGTTTTTTTCTTGCACTCTCTATATATTCCTGTTGCCAACACCTGAAAAGATACATAACTTATCATTTTACTCCTCTCTTTTCGATGTTATGTATTTAGTGGGTAATTTTATTTGGCTATTAGAGTATTTCAGTCATCATGCGTTTAGACAAACATATGGTTAAAAGACTTTTCAAATAAAAAGTTGTTCTTACCTTCTACTTCTCTATTTATCTCCATTACTTTCTGATACATAGACTCAGGTATACACACTTGAGTCTTTGCAGAACTCTCAAAGAGACTCTGTTAAAAGTAGTATCAATAGATAATTTCAATTTTAAAATCATAAGAAGCATCAAAATTCCTAATTAAAATATTTTTTAAACTCAATTTCTGACTTCAAAGGCAATTTGATTTGAGGATAGGCACATATTGAAAATCACGACATTTTGATGGAAACCCTCACATATGCTATCTAGGTCAAAACTTATCTGTTGTCTTCATGCAGCTATTGACTCGGTTACTGAGCATGAAAAATAAATAATATTGACACAAATTTTCACTCATCTGCATATTTCAAAAAGTAACGCACTTAAAAATATCTTACTTTATCTTCTGCACCAAAAAATCAAGAAAGCACATCAAACAAAATACAATACACTTGCTACCTGCCATAACGCATGTTGGAGTTCAATCAGGCTGGTGGGAAAAATATTAGAGATAGTTATAGAGATAGACACAAAACTTCTTCGAAGGCCGAGAAGTTTGCATAACTTTGGTAATGGATATGGTTGAAGGCAACCTGATCTTTACCTTTCGTTAAACAAATTAAAATAGTCATAAAGGAAGGCAGAGTAGTTTACCTAGCTAGCTAGTTTACTCATATAATCTTAAGACTAACCTTTGATGTACCACAGGTGCTTAAGTGCTTTTTACTTGGGAAGTCCACAATGTCAATTAACCTCTAATGGTGTTGACTCAAGCTTTTGTTAATTATTATCTTACTGAATAAATGCGAGTCTGACTAGCTGATCAGGGCCATAGTGGCAACTGTTCACAGAACTCAGCAGGGAGTCTGTAAGCCACACGGACACTCTCAGCTGGACTGGCAGAGCAGAATATCTGTGTGTCAATGTACTTTATTCATCTTTCCCTGGGTCAGGGGTCTGCAAGGGACAGACTCCCTGCAGCTGGTGCCTCCTGGAGAGGAGTGCTGCCGCAAATACATACTGCATTAAACATGGAAAATATTCATGATTATAGAATTATTTAGTGTTAAAAATGATGCATGGCATAAAGAGAATGTTAAGAATAAGTCTCCTGGCTAACACGGTGAAATCCCGTCTCTACTAAAAAAATGCAAAAAAATTAGCTGGGCGTGGTGGCGGGCGCCTGTAGTCCCAGCTACTCCGGAGGCTGAGGCAGGAGAATGGCGTGAACCCAGGAGGCAGAACTTGCAGTGAGTGGAGATCCAGCCACTGCACTCCAGCCTGGGCGACTGAGCGAAACTCTGTCTCAAAAAAAAAAAAAAAAAAAAAAAAGAATACTCAGAACATTGTAGAAGCGGCTATATTTAGGTAAACAAGGGCTTAAAATAATCAAAATGTTTTTGATAAAATGTCTGCTGATAGAAAAAGTATTTGAATAAAATGAAAAAGTAGTAAGGAAAACTTATGTTTATGTTATGTTTAAATGAAAGCAGACAAATATTAGAAAAAGTCTTTTTTTTGGTCTATGGACAAATTAGATAAAATCTACTTGTCTATTGACATCTCATTTCTGTTACCACTGTGCAGCAGGGGCTTGGATGTAAGAGGTCAGACACTTCCTGTGTCTTTCCACAGTTGTGACCTTGGACTACACATCATTATTATTTGATACTTATGTTGCTATAAGCATGGCTACCACAAACGGACCCAAAGAGTTCTATTTATAAAAATAATTTCTACTTTTTAAAACACTACTCAAACAAATTGTCCCACTGGTTTCCTATTCTTTATGCATATTTTTCTCCTGAAATGTTCCTTCAGATCTATACTGGACAATACACGTATGTCAATAAGTTCAAGTCCAAAGCATTATCTTTTCATGTTTCAAGTTGTACAAAACTGCAGCTTAAACTGTTTTTCTATTAATCCAATTAGAACTTTTGTACATCTAGATATACCACTGAATCATATATTTGCCCACAGGTGGACTCAGAGTAATTCTTTAATTTTTGGCCAAATTTCACCTCAGAACTTGTGAATTACTGGTGAATTCTAAGCCTTATTTTTTATACTATACTACACTAGTGTTTAAAACTCATTCTGCAAATTAGTAGAATTTCACCATTAAGCAGTAATCTACTTACCACATAGATTTTTTTTAAGTATTTTTTTTTTGGAGACAGAGTCTCACTCTGTCACCCAGCCTGGAGTGCAATGGTGCAATCTCACCTCACTGCAACCTCCTCCTCCCAGGTTCAAGTGATTCTCCTGCCTCAGCTTCCCGAGTAGCTGGGATTACAGGTGTGCACCACCACATCCAACTAATTTTGTATTTTTAGTACAGACAGGGTTTCACCATATTAGCCAGGCTGGTCTCAAACTCCTGAACTCAGGTGATCCTCCCACCTCAGGCCTCCCAAAATGCTGGCATTACAGGCATGAGTTACAGTACCCAGCCAAGTATGTTTTTAGAAATATCAGAATTTCTTCTGAGCATATGCAGTGGTAAGAGAACCAAGTCAAAGCCTCTGATTTTGCATTTTCACATCACTCAATATTAATATTTTTAGAGAATAATAACAGCAATAATACACAATACCCCAGAATCCCAAGAATATTCTTCATCTTCCTCTCGTTTGGATTCTGATGGGAACATCTGATCTAAAAATGTTAATCACAGATACATTCATGAGAGCATTCCTTATTATAAATTTTAAAAACATATACAAATCTATTTTCATTCATGAATCTGTGGACTTTCTTCTGGAGCCTGTATATTCTATTGAATAACAACCACCACTTCTATAGTCAATTGGTTAGAACTACAATCTTAAAAATCTAAAAATTAACTTTATATTCATTAGAATGCAAAAAGCAATAAAAATTGACTAATTTGTATTAATTATTTCCTCACAAAAGAAATAATATCCTCTTCTCCCATGAAACACACTATGTCTGAAATTTGCTATTCACTCAGATAACTTTAATTACTTATCATCTCTCAATTCTCTCTGTTTTTATTTTTTAGTATTACTTAGTTTGATTGACTAAGCAATCTTTATTACACAGTTCTTCAAAAAACATTATCAATAAGTAAGATTCTTCAAGAAATTAACTTTTTGATATTAGGAAATATATGTTCAACCCTTTGAAATTTCAATATGCCATGACAGTATATTTGGTGTGAATGCGTTTTAAATAAATAAGCTTAAAGAACTTGTACTGCATATAAATTAAAAGCTGCTTTAATTACAATGAGATAGTCTTTCCTCAATGCAACAATAGCTTCAGAATCAACTTGGGCCTCCTTGGAGAAACATTAGACATTTCTAGGAAAAATGATTGCTGTAAGTAACCTAAATTTCCCACATTTCATGGAATTAAAGGTCCAAGGAGTACTGAGAGCCATGAGGCAGAAAATCAATATATTCATTTAACAGAAATATTCTAAATGCATCTGAAGTGAATTCACTCAAATATCCTATTCAGAAACTCGAAAGTTGCCTGGCTATCTTCTCTCTTATCCCGTGTCCTGCCTCACAATCCCTCTTCCTTAGCCAAAATAATGTCTACGTCTGTAGTCTTGATTCTTCCCATTCAACATCTCTTAAAATCAATTTTCCCAACACTTTTTTTCTCTTTGTTTAGGGGTAGTATCTGACATCTGTAATTACCATTTCTTTACCTCTTTTTTCCCCTCTGGTCAGAAACATACTCAGAAATAAAAGCAATATAATGCTTTCCCTTGACCCTGTTATGTCTTGACCTTCTATCCAATGGCCCTTCTTCCAGATTTTTCCAAAGGAAAGGCTATTCCCTTGCTACTTAAGAGTGAGGTCCAAGGACCACCAGCATCAGCATCACTTGAGAACTTATTAAAAATTCCAGAATCCCAAGTCTGCTGAATCACAGCATGCATTGTTGACAAGGTATTCAGCTGATTTTCTAAAGTTTGAAAACTTCTGGTCAATACCGAGTGTATATGACAAATTATATACACGCACAGCTGTGCAAATATGCTTATATTAACCCTTTGCAGATAAAACACAACTCTCCATGGTCAGGTGCTTCCATCCCTAATGCCTTCCCACCGGTGAGAAAGACAAGAGTGAAAACATGTTTGCTGTAATTCTCTGGCAAATTTTGGTAAAGAAAGGTCACCTTATATTCTTCAAAACTTTCTAATCATGCCTTATCTTTCGCTAAAGAATTATTTTATTTTACCATCCTCTATTACCTAAACCCATTTCTTGTTGCCTCATGTACTCTCTGTACTCTCTGTCTTCCTCAGCCTTCATTCCCTCTTTCACTCCTTTCCTCAGGTCTTACAGTATATTGAATTTAAACTAATAATTCAGCTCTTTTTTGGCACTCTCAATATAATCTGTTGTCAACACCTGAGAAGACACATAACTTTCACTGCCTTTGTTCTTCCGTGTTATGCATTTAAAAAATAATTTTCTCTGGCTGTCAGAGTATATCAGTCCTCATGAATTTAGACAAACATTTGGTCAAAAGATGTTTTAAATAAAAAATGGTTCTTACCTTCTATTTTGTGATTTATTGTTTTGATATCTTTTTGATATGTAGCATCAGGTAAACACGTATAATTCTGTGCAGCACTCTTAGAGATAATCTGTTAAAGGTAATACCAATAAATAATTTGTCTTTTTCCTTTTTTTGTTTTTTTGAGATGAAGTCTCACAGGGTGGCTCAGTGGTGTGATCTCGGCCTACTGCCACCTCTGTCTCCCAGGTTCAAGCGATTCTCCTCCTTCTGCCTCCTGAGTAGCTGGGACTACAGGCAGGAGCCACCACACCTGGCTAATTTTTTGTATTTTTAGGAGAGATGGCGTTTCACCATGTTGGCCAGGCTGGTCTCGAACTCCTGACCTCAAGTGATCCGCCCGCCTCAGCCTCCCAAAGCACTGGGATTATGGCTTGAGCCACATCAATAAATAATTTCAATTTAAAAATAATAAAAATGACAAGCATCAATATTTTTTATTTAAAATCTTTTTTATGGGGCCAGGTGCAGTGGTTCATGCCAGTAATTCTAGCACTTTGGGAGGCCAAGGTGGGGGGATCACGAGGTCAAGAGATCGAGACTACCCTGGCCAACTTGGTGAAACCCCGTCTCTACTAAAAATACAAAAATTAGCCTGGCGTGGTGGTGGGTGCCTGTAATCCCAGCTACTCAGGAGGCTGAGGCAGGAGAATCGATGGAACCTGGGAGGTGGAGGTTGTAGTCAGCTGAGATCACTCCACTGCACTCCAGCATGGTGACGGAGCAAGACTCTGTCTCAAAAAAGAAAAAAAAATAATTAAAACTTTTTTTTAACTTTAAAGGCAATTAGATTTAAAGCTGTTCACATATTGAAAACCAAAACATTTCAAGAGAAAACCTCACGTATGCTTTGTAGATCACACTTACCTTTTATCTTCATGTGGCTATTGACTGGGTTACTGAGCATGGAAAATAAATCATATTCATAAAAAATTCACTCGTGTACATATTTCAAAAGGAATTAACTTCAAAGTATCTGCCTTACTCTGTAGTCCTCACCAAAAATAATAGGGCATTTCAACCAGAACACAATATGATTAAACACTTGACATATGCATAATTATAGAATTTTTGTTAAAAACTATGCATGGCATGAAGAGAATTTTCAGAGTATGTCATGCGGAGTAGGAGTAGAACTCTGTAGAAGCTGATTCAGTTAGGAAAACAAGGGCTTAAAATAATAAGAATGATTTTTACAAGTTTTTGCTGATACAGAACTGCTTGAATAAAAGGAAAGATTCATAAGGAAAACTTATATTTATGTTATTTTTAAATGAAAGCAAACAATCATTAGATAAAGTACGCAATTCATTCTTAATACACAACTTCAGAAAAGTAGAGCAAGCCTTCATAAAAAGAGAAAAATAAAAACGTGTTCGTGAAACATCTAACATATGCCAGACACATATTTGCAGACTTTTCTTCACCTTAGAAAAATGAGGATGACGATGACATGGGTGGTTACCCCACTTTCTGCATGCTAGTCATTCTAAGTTGTTAAGAACAAAATGATGAACAAATATGGTCCACTGTTCTCTGTTCAGAATGTCTTCCTCCTAGACTTTCATATGGCTTACTCCTCATCTTTGAGATGGGAGATTAAATGGCAGTTTCAGAAAGATCTACTCTGACCATAGAATTCCACTGCCACTCCCATACGCATGCTAATTATAAAGTTCTCCAATTTTCTCTAACTGAACATTCTCTGTTTTGTTTTAAAGAAAAAGTTATAGTGGCTTATAAGTGTTTTTTATTTGTTATTCTCTTCCTACTACTACAGCATAATCCCTCATCTTGGATATTCAGACTCACTGCCTAGCACACAGTTGGTACTCAGAAAGGAATTACTCCAGGTCAAAATATTGAAAATCTCATCAGGAAAGTCTCACTTTCCAAACTGCTATATTTCTATGGAAAATCTGCAGTAGTAGCCTGCTGAAAGTTACCATCCCCTTACCCAAAATTAGAAATCCACATGCCTGTTCTTACTTCCCATTCTTGTGCTAACAATACTGCTTTCACATAAATGCCACTTTGATCATTTTGTCTTACATTTGTATACAGACTTTCCAGTTTAAAAAATGTTTTCACATTTGTTAAAACATTATTTCATCACATGCAACTAAGAGGTAGATATGAGCGCTATTTTTATAAACCAAGTTAGTTGCATTTGGTTAAGTTAATTGATTTTTTCCAAGTTCCCATAGCTAGTAAGTGTCAGAACCAAATACAGACTTATCTTTTGACATCCACTCATTGCTGTTACCACTATGCAGCTGCTGCTTCTACCTAACTGGTGAGGCCTTTGCTATCTCTTCCACATCCACAGTTGTGACCTTGGAATACATCATTATTATTTGATACCTATGTGGCTGCAAACATGGCTGCCACAAAGAAACTCAAAGAGTTCTATTTGTGAAAAGAATGTCTACTTATTAAAATACTACTCGACCAAATTGTTGTTATTATAGTTTTACAGGTGTCCTATTTCTCATGTTTATCCAACTCCAGAAATGTTCCTTCAGATCTATACTGGATAATCAAAATATACCAATACTGATATTTTGAAGTCCCAGGCATTATCTTTTCAAGTTCCAAGTTGAGCAAGACTAAGACTACAGTTTAAACTCTTTCTCCCTGAATCCAATTAGAGCTTTTGTACATCTAGATATACACAGAATCATATAATTGCCCATAAATCAATGCAGAGAAATTATTTAGTTTTTAGACAAACAACTTCAGAACTAAATAGATTCCTAGTGCCTTCTAAGCCTTATTTTCTTTTGCACTATTCTACACTGGCTTCAAAATTAATCCTGCAAATTAGCAGAATTGCACTATGCAGCTGTTATCTACTTGATACATGATTATAAAGTATGTTCTGATAAATGTCAGAAAATAATTTCTTGGTTTGCTTGTTTGTTTTTTGAGATGGAGTCTCGCTCTGTCACCCAGGCTGGAGTGCAGTGGCATGATCTGGGCTCACTGCAAGCTCCACCTCCCAGGTTCATGCCATTCTCCTGCCTCAGCCTCCCGAGTAGCTGGGACTACAGGCGCCCGCCACCACGCCCGTCTACTTTGTTGTGTTTTTAGTAGAGATGGGGTTTCACCTTGTTAGCCAGGATGGTCTCGATCTCCTGACCTCGTGATCTGCCGGCCTTGGACTCCCAAAGTGCTGGGATTACAGGCATGAGCCACCACACCTGGCCCTTAGATTTTTTTTTTTTTTAGCTAAAATAACCTAGAACAAAAATTTACTCTTACGTAGTTTATAGTATTGTAGAAATAATTAAAATTTAAAAAGTTAAATTACATGTTATATTTTGCAATATCTCTTCCTAATTTACAGTTGTATTAATTACCTCTTGTGTGGAAAAATATGAAAGTTTAGTTTTTAATAGTACCTTATTTAACTGGGTTTGCATTGAAATAGTATAGGTTGTTTCTATTCTGAACGGCAAAAAGCTAAGTATAAATAATTGTATAAATTCTGCTTCTTCCAAGAAACAGAGAAAAAAAGAATAAATCATGGAGAGGGCAATGATTGATTAATGAAAATCATACATAGCCACTAAATAGAAACCTGTAAATAAATATGCTGACAATTGAGACAGCAATGCTCTAAAAAGCAGACACTGAAGAAATGTATTCTGTGAGAAAAAAAGTCTGGGGCAAATCATTTTTAAAAAGGTGAAAGAGGAGGGAGAAACAAACAAGAGACGTGACCAGTCAATCAAGTATGAGCTTCAGTCATTAAATAAAATGAAAAACAACAACTATAAGATATATGATGAAACACATAAAGTACAGACTTTTGTTCATAATATATTCCTATAATGCTGATCAGTATTTACACTACAATTAGTTATTTGTTAATACCTGGGTAATAAAGATTTTAATTTTATTATTATATAATAAGACATTCAATTAGTTAAACATGGTCTTCAGCCAATACCTAAAAGCGGGAACATTCTTACTACAGAGAGAGAAAAAATTTAAAATGGAATGTTCCATAAACTTTTCACCTGAAGAAAGTACTGGTAATCAGAATTTTAGAGTAATGTATTCCTTGACAAGATATGTTTAATAGAACTTGAGTTTTGGATGGGCGCGGGGGCTCAAGCTGTAATCCCAGCACTTTGGGAGGCCAAGGCGGGCGGATCATGAGGTCAAGAGATAGAGATCATCCTGGCCAACATGGTGAAACCCTGTCTCTACTAAAATTACAAAAATTAACTGTGCATTGTGGCATGCGCCTGTAGTCCCAGCTACACAGGAGGCTGAGGCAGGAGAATTGCTTGAACCCAGAAGGCAGAGGATGCAGTGAGCCGAGATCACACCACTGCATTCCAGCCTGCATGACAGAGAGACTCTGTCTCAAAAAAAAAAAAAAGAACATGAGTTGAGATTAAAATTATTTTAATCTAAACTCCACTTGGAGGATACTAGAAAATATAGTGTAATCTTCTTTCCTATTTACTACATATCTCTGATTGTCTTCTTATTTGAGACATATTTTCACATGAATTTATGCATTCTAAATATTAAAAGAAAATATAAATTTAAGCCATATTTTTGAAATGCATTAGATTTAATTATAAGATATATCATGCATATTATCTCACTTGTAATATTCCATTATATAAAAATTCATTTGTCAGCTTATTTATTCACATTGAAAACCTCTTAAAATCTTTTTATAGGCAAGACTGTATTCTGGGTACACTAGGATGCACACACGTATGTTTTCTAACCTGCAGTATCTCATAGTGATGCAAGAGCTCCAAAATGATTATTTAAATAACTAAATACAAAATCTTCCATAATTTAAGATTTTCAAATGTGATCAAAGATCTTTGAACAATATATTTAAAAACTGCAATTTAAAAATTCTGAAATTAAAATCTTACTATATGCTTATTCAGAGTCTCTGCTTCCAGAACTGGTTGTTTACTTGGGGTAAAATCTGCATTCTTCATTTAGATGAAGAATTTAAAGCATACTTTTAATGAAAAACTTAGAAAACACACTGGCATGCCTTAATAATACAGATTCTGAGAAACAGAATTTACATTTCTAAATTTCTACAATTATTTTTAAAATTAGTGATAAGGTCTCGCTATGTGCCCACACTGGTCTCAAACTCTTGGGCTCAAGCAATCCTCCTGCATCAGCCTCCCTGGTAGCTGGAACTACAGGCATGCACCACCATGCCCAAATAAATTTTCACAATTTCTAATATTATTTTGGTGTAATTAAAGAACCAAGAAGAGAAACTGAGAAAAAGCTCTCTCCTGAAAACTACGTGATATCAAAATAATACATGCAAAAAAAAAAAAAAAAAACCCTATATGCTATGTGGCACAGTTTCGGAACTGAACAGTATCAGAGAGATTCCTTGATTACTATAATAAGAAACTGGGTCCATCAAGACAAATTTAAGCATGAATTTTGTTTTAAGTTACAAAAGAATAATTTTAAAAGTCACAGTAAGTTTACTTATCCAAATAAATCTTTACCAGATTTTATATATTCTCTATTGTGGAAAAGTTTTTTCTAGTATAATGTTCCTGTCACTATGTATTCTCCAGCCCATTCCATTTTTCGGCCCTCACACCCTCAAAGTATTTACCAATCATTTGTTATTTACTAAAGTAAAAAAAAAAAAAACTGTTTAAATCAACTACTCCTATTTCTATAAAATGTTTTTATCTGACCAACTTTATATTACCAACATGAAATAATGATACATACACCACTGCTAAGAAATACTATACAGAAATATATTGCAACTGAGAAAATCAACTTCACAAAAGAACATTTTACCTTGGTAGCAAGATTAAAGTCTTCCTCAACTTTTGTACACTGTGAATTTTCAATAGTCCGTGTGCCAAAAAGACTTTAAAGAAAAATGATACAACATAAATGAGCAAATTCATATATTTAAAAAGAAAATCTGCTAGTTCATATCTTGGTGCTCACTCTATAAAATGAAAACAAAAAACAAAATCTGGGGAAAGACCAGTCCTCTGTATATTATATCATGTTTCTTGGTAGAATTAAAATATGTCCTCTGTTTTTAAAAATGATTTTAGTTACCTATTTTTGACTCTACCTCCCCAACCTAAAACATACAATAAAGACTGACTCTTAGTTCCATAAGAAATAGTGACTGCCAATATAATTGGCATACCCTGAGTATAATTCATCCTCACAAACTGTCCTCAATGATGAACTGGAAATCTACTTAATGGCTGACATAACTTTTGATATATAAACTGGAACAAACTTGATAACCTAAAATAAGGAAGAAAGATACAGTTACCTTGTCCCTTATCCATTGTCTATCTCTGATTCAAAGACTAATCTGTGTCACTGGAAAATGACATTCTTTGTTTTTCAACATAAAAGCCACTTAAGAAGGCCCTGTTGCTTCCCTTCACCCTGAAACACTACAAAACAGTGCCCTGAAATATTTGAAATGTTGAAAAGCTGAACCTACAAATTTCAAGTTGCAAATGTATATTTGTTATTCGGAATATTTTCTCACAAAAATTGAAACATTAAAAGTAAGAAAGTCTAACTACTTATTTTATACTTGTCCTTCCTTGTTCAGGTCTACATAAACTAGCAAAGCCTTAAAAATCTTCATAGGTACTTATACCCAAGGAGAGAGACTGCTAGAAAAACTGAGACCTGATAGTTGGATTTCTCTAAGTACTATATATACAGAGAGAAAGATCTGGAAGTGGGAGCCACTATATATAGTGAAAGTGTCTCTCTCACTTCCAGATCTTTCTTCTGCAGGGCTTCATGGCAGTCTCCAACCTTTAAATATTCAGCTCATCAAAGCACAGACTACTGAAAAGATAAACTCAATGACCAACCAAGAAGTTCTGTATTCACCTGTTCCTGAAAAACAACGAAATGGAGTCTCAGTCAGTCATTCACCTCCAGCATAAGCATGTTACCAAAAACCCAACTGAACCACGACTTACTTGCCAGTCAATCTTACCCCTGCTTTATATGTACATGGGTAGGACATCTGAGGCTTGGGAAAAGAGACAAAGGGGAGGGGACATCTGCCTTGGGCCACAGATCTATGTGACTCAGCAACCTTTAATCCCCTAGCATTCAAGGGGCTCTAAGCCACTCTTGTGAGATTTGGGGTGAAAGAACAGAATAGGACATTTCTATCGGATTGTAGAGACCTTTCCCAGTGGCTCTTTTTTTTTTTATCTTTCAATAGAAAGCTTGAAGTTTGCCCATTCCTCCAATTAAACAAGCAAAAAAGCAGTGACCTATTCAGGACGTCTTTGAACCCTATTTTAGTATGCTCTTCTAGATAACTCCCAATGTCTTCTGTGTTTTTGATCCTCTAATTTATCTTTAATCAAACTTGTCATAAAATCCAACATTCTGATCTCTTTGGTAAAACCCTTACTCCTACCAATCCTGGGATTGTTTCTTTTCAAACTTGGCCTTTCCCTGATAATTCCATTCTTATCTACTTCCACTGGGTTCTCCAGCTAATTCCATTCTTATCCTTTTCCATTTGTTTAATTAGACCCATTCCCTCTTCCTATTATTCAAACACTCACCTACATGATGATATAAAAACAAGAGTAATGGGCTTTGAAATCAGTTTAAATATTACTTCTCCTACCTCCTATATTTAAATAAGTCACTTTGAGTTTCAGACTCTCCATCTGAACAACCATTTTTCCAGGATATTAAATACATGTTGAAATATGAAAGTATTTTGATTAGCCTCCAAGAGTCCTTAAAATCCTAAAATTCCACGTGCCTTTTATTTTAGCTATAGAAAAATGGTGCTGGCAGAAAGGAATAAAACAATAGAAGAAAAGAACACCAAGCAAAGCAGAGAAGAAAGTAATCAGGAAAGGATTATAGAAAAGTCATGGAAGAAGAAAAAAAGACTCTAGAAAAAAAATGAAAAATGCCTGCAACTAGGCAGGGAACTGCTTTGAAGAAAAACTAAACTTGGAAGTCAGTCAATAGAGAATTCTATAAGATATAGCCTCTAAATATGATTAACATAACATATCTATATCTATTCTCCACTAAGAGTAAAATAATCCATCTATAGATTTACCTGGTCTTCTTATGAAACAAAAGCCTATGTCTTGTGGCCACAGCTAAGTAAGATCTGCTCTAAACACTTTGATGATAATAACAAGGTACTGGTTACCGCTTTAACAGTTAAACATGTTAGAACAAAGTATTTGATGAATGAGTGTTCTAAGAGAAAACTCTAAAAAGAGTTAACCTGTAACAAAATGTAACTTTGTGAATTGATCCAATCTGGACCTGTACCTTGATCTCAGTGATGCAGAGGTCTCCATCAATCTATGCTGAGGGAGAAGAGAAGGGATTAGGGACCAAAGTAGGCAGATGGCAAACTCAAGGGTCAGCTACTTTTTAGCTATGAATCATAGGCCAATTAATCAACCTCTCTGAACCACATTTGCCTGTTTAATACAAAGTATGTGACAGTAGCACAGATGCTTTGCAAAGCTGTGTGATGACTATGTGAGATGATAAATATTAAGCACATAATATGTTGTCTAGCCCAGAGTAGAATACTCAGCAGATAGTGATTTCTTTTCTCTATGTTTTCTGAGTTAACCTATTCGTTTTAAAAAACCGCAAAGTCTTACCTGAATATAGGCTCTACAGAACTCACATCCACTATTAAAGAAAAAAAGTAAAATACATTAAATTAACAAATATAAATAGAAAATACAGAGTATTAACAACGTAAGAGGGCACGATGGCAAATGCCTGTAATCCCAGCTACTTGGGAAGGTGAGGCAGGAGGATCGCCTGAGGAGCCCAGGAGTCTGAAAGCAGCCTAGGAGACATTGCGAGACTTCAACTTAATTTAAAAGAATCATGCATATTTTCGTGCATGATCCAGATCTTGTTTAAAAAAGCATAATATTCCAACACTTTGTTATGAAGACTCAGATGATTTGATATAAAGGTTTCCTTTGGGACCATACCTTGAGACTATAGTAAAATTATTATTAAGTATACTCTTGGTAGGAAATTAATGCATTAAGAACACTTTTCCCCTCCTTTATAGTTCTCAAATGCACGGAAAAATAGAATTTATCACAATCTGATCTCTACAAGTGAGCTACAGTATACAATAGTCATAATCCAAACAGAATCCTGTAAGACGGACAGAAAATTGTATTATTATCAGAATTAGTGTAAGTGGACAGTGTCAACCTTAGAAAGTATAATTTCTAGAAAAATGAACTAAGAGCAGTTAGAGCAGAGTACACAGTAGTCTCTCTTTATCTGCTCTATGTGTAGAAAGAAACACACACAACATGATTTCCCTCTGCTCTCATGCCACAGTCATCAAAACAGAAGACTTCTGTGACCAAATGTGTGGAAGATTTTGTCCACCAAAAAATAAGCAAACAATTCTGTAGCAGAAACCAGCAAGTTGTCCTCTATTTAATTCCACTATCTATCTAGAAATAGTGTTAGATCCCACAGGCTGAGGGCTCAGTCTCACAAGACTGCCCTCCCACATCAGTTGCAAATGTGGGTTTCTGAATCATCTAACCAGCTGGTTTCAAGTTGGGATTCTCATGACTCCCTCTTTGGGTTTGATTAACGTACTAGAGTGCCCCAAATACTAAGGGAAACACATTTACCAGTTTATTATGAAGGGTATCACAAAGGAGACACATGAAGAGATGCATAGAGCAAGTTATAGGAAAGGGGCATGGAGCTTCCATGCCCTCCCAGGGCACATCAGCCTCCAAACACTTCCATATGTTCAGCTATCTGGAAGGTCTCTGATCCCAGTCCTTCTGGGTTCTAAAGAAAGCTTTATTACATAGGCATGAATAAAAAAAATCTGTGGCTCCTGGTAATTGACCTAATCTTCACCTCCTAGGAGGTTGAGGGGTGGGGCTGAAAGTCCCAACACATCATGTCTTCTTCTTTCTTGTGACCAGCTCCTATCCTGAAGCTACCTAGGGACTGCCAGCCATCACTCAATTATTAGCATACAAAGACATCACTTTGGAGATTCTAAACATTCTATGAGTTGTACGCCAGAAAACAGTGTTGAAGACCAAATATAGATTTCACAATATAATATCCATGGTTTTGATTTCTGTGATTTCAGTTATTCATGGTCAACCATAGTCCAAAAATATTAAATGGGGAATTCTAGAAATATGCAAGTCATAAGTTCTAAATAATGTGTCATTCTAAGGAGTATGATGAAATATAAAGACATCATTTTCCATCTCACCCAGGTCATGAATCATTCCTTTGCATATGCTATCTGCCCATCAAAATGGTCTGTTTCTGAGTCCCAACCATCAACATTATCATGGCTCAATGATCCACCATCACATGAAGCAGATGATCCACCTTCTGATATGTAGTCAGATAGCCAGAAATAATTAGTAGCCTAACACCACATGACAACTCCTACCTCATTCACCTGACTTCATCTCATCACATAGGCATTATATCATCTCACAGTCATCACAAGAAAAAGAAGGGTGAGTACAATACAAGACACTTTGAGAGACCGTATTCACCTAACTTTGATTACAATGTATTATTATTGTTTTATTTTATCATGAGTTATTCTTAATTTCTTACTGTGCCAAATTTATAAATTAAACTATCATAAATATGCATATATAGAAAAAACATGTATATATAGGGTTTCATACTATTCACAGTTTCAGACATTCACCGGGTGTCTTAGAAAATACCCCCCATGGATAAGGGTGAATTACTGTACTTATTTGTGTGTGTTTGTTTATGTTTGTGTGAGAGAGAGACACAACACAGATCTCCACTCTCCACAAGAAGCAGATAAAAAAGACAACACTTTTCCTCACACTTTACTCTTAGGTTTTGACAATTCTGGAAAAATATTGGCATGTGTACTTACCAGTCTAGACAATTTTCCAGACCCTGGGTATGTTGGCTGCTTCAGTTACAAAAAGTTAGGTAGGATCTTGGGAGATTTTTTCTTCGACACCAGAAATATCAACCATATCAACAGTATACTTAACAACCCTAAAATAATTCTTTTGAACAGATTACCACTGAAGAACTTGTAAGTTAAATCTAATTGGCTTTTCAGTAATCTTACTGCTTGAAATTCTCACATTTAAAAGTAACTCCTCTCCTACTTTTCATTAGCCACTGCTCAATCTCCTTTACCAAGTCTTCTGACTCTGTGAAATGTTGATACTCCCAGGGTTTTGTCAATGGCTTTCTTCTTATTCTACATCTTCTGCATCATGGATAAGCTCATTGAGATCTATGGCTTTGCCTAATAATTATAATAAAATTATTCTAAGCCTACATCTCCAACCAGAGTTCTATCTCCAGCTAGAAATACGTATAAACCAATTACCTACAGAAAATATCCCACATGAATGTTTCATTGAACTCAATATGTAAAGAAAATGGTTGGTCTGTCCCATGACTATTTGCACTTCTCTGCTGACCTGACAATTTTCTTTTCTTTTCTTTTCTTTTCTTTTTTTTTTTTTTTTTTTTTTTTTGAGATGGAGTCTCGCTCTGTCACCCAGGCTGGAGTGCAGTGGTGAGATCTCGGCTCACTGCAACCTCCACCTCCTGGGTTCATGCCATTCTCCTGCCTCAGCCTCCTGAGTAGCTGGAACTACAGGCACCTACCACCACGCCCAGCTAATTTTTTGTATTTTTAGTAGAGACGGGGTTTCACCCGTGTTAGCCAGGATGGTCTCCATCTCCTGACCTCATGATCTGCCCACCTTGGCCTCCCAAAGTGCTAGGATTACAGGCACCATGCCCAGCCCTGACCTGACAATTTTCTACTCCTTCCCCATGAGCATTGTAAATGCTCATGCACAGTCTGTAAACTTAAGACCTGAGATTTTCTCTGTCCCCTAGCTTTTTAAACTCAATAATAACTAAACCATATTAACTGTACCTCTTTTCTGCCCTTGCTTTATCTTTCCAGTGACACTGGGAATACAAACTTATTATTTTATATTTATATTTCCTACTTAGACATGGCCCCTTAACTGATGGCTTTCACAGTGAAAAAGAAACCCTACCAATTACTATCGTTATTTTTTAAGTTAAAAAAAATTCAGTAAAACAAATCAAAATAAAATAATGGCAAAGAAAGACATACAGGTTTAAATCTGTAAATTGAGCTTCTGAACTTGATTCCTTTTACCCTGGAAGGGTCAAATTTTCATAATAGACTGATACTAGGCCACAGATTGGTGACAAAAAAAAAGACTATAGCATGAACTACTACAAAAGCTTACTTTGTCTTTAAATCTTTTTATGTAATTACCCTCCATCTATCTTCTATGTGAAGGGCCAGCAAACTGTGTATCACAGGCCAAATTCAGCTTACCAAATGGTTTTTTATACATAGTTTTCTTGGAGTGCAATCATGCCTATTTGCTCACACATTATCTATGGCTGCTTTCACTCTACAATGCAGAGTTCAATAGCTGTTATAGAGACACATGGCCTAACATATTTCTTTTTCTTTTTCTTTTTCTTTTTTTTTTTTCAGATGGAGTGTTGCTCTGTCACCCAGGCTGGAGTGCAATGGTGCGATCTCAGCTCACTGTAGCCTCCGCCTCCTGGGTTCAAGCAATTCTCCTCCCTCAGCCTCCCAAGTAGCTGGGATTACAGGCACGTGCCACCAAGCCTGGCTATTTTGCATATTTTTAGTAGAGATGGGGCTTCACCATATTGGCCAAGCTGTTCTCGAACGAACTCCTAACCTCACGATCCACATGCCTCAGCCTCCCAAACTGCTGGGATTATAGGCGTGAGCCACCACACCCAGCGGTCTAACATATTTCCTATCTGGCACTTTACAGGAAAAGTTTGCCAATCTCTGCCTTATACCACGACCAGAATGCCCTGATGCTCAGATCCAATCTTGTGACTCCCCTGCTCAAACCTTTCCAATGAATCCCTGCAGAAAACATTACTGGCTTCCTATGCCTAGTCATTATTTATTCTTTTTTTGCTGCAGAAACACAAGTTTATTTAGATATTCATTATTCCATTACCCCCATTCCATCTCAAAAATAGAAATCATTCTTCTAAGCTAATCACAGTAATTACATTTGCTTTCCTAGTGACTGGCTTAGAAATGAGCATGTGGTATAATCCAGCCAACAAAATGTTACAGGAAGATTATTGCAAGCTTCCAAGTTTTCTCTCTATTTAAAAGAAAAATGTGAACAAAGCAGCCCTTCCAGCCTTTAAATATTGTCTTGAGAGAGCATGATGATTGGAGCTGTTGCTAATTAGCCAACCAAAAGTGGGATCCTGACTGGGCGCAGTAGCTCACACCTGAATTCCCAGCACTTTTGGAGGCCAAGGCGGGGCTATCACGAGGTCAGGAGTTGGAGTTTGGCCAATATAGTGGAACCCTGTCTCTACTAAAAATACAAAAAATCAGCCAGGTGTGGTGGTGGGTGCCTGTAATCCCAGCTACTTGGGAGGCTGAGGCAGGAGAATTGCATGAACCCAGGAGACGCAGGTTGCAGTGAGCCGAGATCGCTCGCGCCATTGCACTCCAGCCCAGGCAACAGTGCGAGACTCCATCTCAAAAACTAAATAAATAAAATAAAATAAAAAATACAAAAGGGATCCTATGATATCCCTGTACTACCAAAACAACTTTGGTTCCTATGATTTTAGCCACTGTTAGTTAGTTCATCTAGTATTTACAACCAGAAGTATTGTGAGAATTTTTCCAGGGCCTACAGAATAAGATCTATTTATTTCTACACTATTAAAAAGTGTTGCCTAAGCTTGCCTTATTTAGATATTCAAGACATTCCCAACAACTCCCATATCACACTTTTTTCACTAGGGAACCCAAAGTGCCAATAAACCCTGCAAAGTTCACTCAAGCATCTTACCATTTGTACTTGCTTTTGTAGATGTTTCTTTTGTAGGACATGCAATCATATTAGATGTTCCTTTTTCCAAAACTTCAGTTTTATTAGGTGTTACTCCTGCCACGCATTCAGTCTTTACAGATGTTTCTTTTTCCTCCCATGTGATCTTCCTAGATCTTTCTTTTGCTGGCCATGAAAATTTCTCAGATGTTTCTTTTGTAGGCCTCAAAATTTTCCTAGGTGTTTCTTCTGTTGACTGTTCAAACTTTCCAGATGTTGCTTTCCCCAGACATTGAATTTTGGCAGACGTTCCCTCCACCAAGCGTGCAGCCTCGTCAGGTGTTTTTTCCAGCAAGCTTTCAGCCGTGTCAGGTGTTCTTTCCGCCAAGGGTGCAGCCTCATCAGGTGTTCCTGTAGATGTTCCTTCTGCCAAACACACAATCTGGTTAAATTTTCTTTCTGCTTAAATATCATCCTCCTGACTTCACCTGGCAAACTTCTACTTATTCTGTATGCTTTCCTTAAATATTACCAAACTTTTCTTTTCTCTCTTCTCTTTTTTTTGATGGAGTCTTGCTCTGTTACCCAGGCTAGAGTGCAGTGGCATGATCTCAGCTCAATGCAATTCAAGCGATTCTCCTACCTCAAGCGACTCTCCTACCTCAGTCTCCCAAGTAGCTGGGATTACAGGCACAGGCCACATCACCTGGCTAATTTTTTGTATTTAGTAGAGACGAGTTTCACCATGTTAGTCAGGCTAGTCTCAAATTCCTGAGCTCAAGCAATTCATCTGCCTTGGCCTCCCAAAGTGCTAGGATTATAGGAGTGAACCACTGTGCCTGGACACTACCAAACATTTTAAAGCTTTAATTCTTCACCTTGGATATAAAATTTCTGACACATGCTGAATATGGTAATGGCATGACATAGTAAGTAATAATTATAAGCTCCAAAAGGGGTTCTGGCACAGAGTAAACACTAAATAAAGTAATAAATAATAAAAAAGATAATAATAATAAGAAAAATGCTTAGTATCTTAATAAAGAAGCAAATAAAAAATGACAATGATAATAACAAGGAAGATACTTAGTACCTTAAAGATACCTGACAGTTATTTGTTAAGTGGACAAGCAGATAAATGAATAAAAAACATTTTTAAGGAAATTCTGTTGGAAAAATGCAGAAATTCAATAGGCACAGCTCTTCTGTATTATGAGCACCTTAAAGACCCAAACTATGTGTATTCCATCTTTGTCTCCTGCAACTTGCCAAACCTAACTTATAGAGGTCCTTTGATAAATATATAATAAAGATGTGCTCATACAGTTCATATTGTACAATGCATTGTGTCACATTTAGGTATCACAGTAGCATTTTCATTATTGTGAAAAGTTTTTGTAATTTTTTTATAATTTTTTGTGTTTAGAGTTAAGCTATTTGAATATTTATAATGATAATATTTTGGCTATTAGAGTATCTTGCTGTAACAAAATTACTATTAACACACTAATTATCCAGTAGATAGAACAACATACCTTGCTCTAATGAAGTAAATATATCTTATTTGGTTTCAACTTAGACGGAATGAAGTTGATAATAGTGAGACCTTGTTGGTACAAGACTACGTAACATAACCTGCGCTTCTCAACAAAGAATTGCTTTTCTGACTTCTGCACTCAGTAGGTATCTTTGAAAGATAATCTCCTATTGGTACTGATGCACCCTGGCTAAGTTTTGTAATTCTTGCTGACATTTGTTTATGGTGCCAGAAAAGTATTATTAAATTCCAAATTCTAAAGATAGTTACTTTTTTAGTGACACAAGTCACTTTGTCACACAGTTGATCCTTGAATAAGGGTTTTCACTCTAGGAGCCCACTAATAGATTTTTCTTTTCCTTTCCCACTGCAAGATGGCAAGACAAATCTCTCCTCTGCCTTCTCCTTATCAGACTACTCAACATGAAGGCAGTAAGAATGAAGACCTTTATGTATAATAATTGACTTCCACTTAATAAATAGTGAATATATTTTTTCCTCCTTATAACAGTTTCTTTCCTCCAGCTCACTTTATTGTAAGAATACCGTATATAGTACATATAAAATAGAAACTATGTGTTTAATTGACTGTTTATGCTTTCAATAAGGCTCCAGGTCAACAGTGGAATATTAGCAAAGTTTTGGAGGAGTCAAAAGAAACAGATTTTCATATGAAGCAGATTTTCAGCTGCATGGGGGATCAGCACCCTAACTCTCATATTGCTCAAGATTCAACTGTAATTAACTCTCATTTACTAAATGCAAACCATTTATTGTAAAAATTAAATAAAGCCCAGAAGTTCAATACCAGCCTGGGCAACATAAGAAGACCCTGTCTCTACAATAAATAAATAAATAAATAAAACCATGTTTCTTCATAGCTTATTGTGTGAGTTCATCAGGCTTGTGGGAAACATTTTAAGATGACATTATAGGACATAGACACAAATCTCCTTGGAAGGCCAGAAGGTTTTGTAAAAGTCTCAAGATAGGGTTATGGCTGAAAGCAGTCTAATCCTTACCTTGAGTAAATAGCCTAAAGTGGGTACAAAGGAAAGTAGAGTAGTTTATCTAAATAGCTTGTTTACTCATGCAGTCTTAAGACTCCCCTTTGATCACCCATGGGCAGGATGGCTCTCCTGGGGTGGGGTGACCAGATTAATTACCCACAGGTATGTTGACTCAAAGCCTTTGTCATTAAAACTTTGCTAATAAATGCCCACAGGGCCAGCTTGCCAGGGTTGTGGCTGCTGACTCCTTACAGCACCTTCCTTGGTGTCTGTAATGGGCTCGGAACCCTTGCTGCTCTTTCACTGAATATGGGTGTCTGGGTATGTGTCTCATCCGTCATGCAGCCGGGATCTGCAGGATAGACCCCCGCAGGTTATAATATTCAAATGTTACAGTTTTCTGTTATTAATTCCTACTCTCCATTATTAGATGTTCAATTCTTTGTGGCTTGTAATTCAGGGCATGTAAACTAATTATCATTTGTAATAACATTTATTTATAAATATATTAATTCATTAAAGTGGATGACCTGATCATCCCCTGTTACTGAGCTCATCAATCACACCAAGGATTATACATTGTATAACAAGTCTAAGTTGTTATGACAATTGAGGAATCAAACAATATACAAACTTAAAAATTGTGTTACCTATATACACAAAATATTATATAGGATTTTAGGGACCAT
Organism: Homo sapiens; assembly: GCF_000001405.40. Lineage (NCBI taxonomy): Eukaryota > Metazoa > Chordata > Mammalia > Primates > Hominidae > Homo > Homo sapiens. Next base: position 14,760,875 of record NC_000018.10, on the reverse strand, counting down.
AATTAAATATTTTTTCAGATAATATTTTTTGAGATTATAAACTACCTACACCTAAATTCTTAACTAATTCTGAATAATAAATTTAAAAAATAAATCAAAGCTATGTATACATATATATACACACACACACCCACATATATGTATATATGTAAACACATGCTATTTGCACATTGCTTTTTGAATTGCTTTTTTGTGATCAGCACTTCCCTAATCTTATGGTAGCACCATCAAGAGTAGTTTGCTATCCGAAGTCTTACCTGGATTGGTATTTTGAGGATTTTTAGGTAATTTTCGTATATGTTCCAAAAGTTGTTGATGAATGCTATGTATAAAAATGTAATAAATAAAATTACTATTTTAACAAGATATAAAAAACATTTACCAAATTTATTAAGTTCTTAGAGTATTTCAGACAATATCAGAGCTAACATCAGAATGTTACTTATTTCACAGACTTTAAGTTTGTAAGCTCTATGAACTTATTAAGCTTCTAATTAAATAATAAATAAAGTAAGATGAAATACTCATGAATTGAGGGCAGTATAACTCAGTAAATTAACTAGAGTTAGCTTGGCTTAATGGAAAATGTCCCTAACTCAGAAAAAGTCCTAGCGCAGTTACCAACAGGTATTTTTTCTTGAACAAGTTGCTTCTCTTAGGCTCAATGTCTTCTAAAAATGAGGATTTTAGAGACTTATTTCACTAGGTTATTACAAAGATTTAACAAGATAACATTTTTAAAATGCTCAAAGAAATAGTGAAGCAATGAAATAATTTATTCTTGAATCTTATTGCTGAAACTATTTTAAAATTCCCAATAAAACCCAATGTGTTGGCCTGGTGCAATGGCTCATGCCTGTGATGCAAGCACTTTAGGATGCTGAGACAGGGGGATTGCTTGAGCCCAGAAGTTCAAGACCAGCTTGGGCAACACAGGGAGACCCTGTCTCTACAAAAAATAAATTTAATTTTTTTAAAAAAAGTGTTTCTTCATAGGTTGTAATGTTGAAATGTTGCAGTTTTCTGTTATTAATTCCTACTTTTGGTTATTAGATGCTCTATTCTTTGTGGCTTGTAATTCAAGGCATCTAAGCTATTTTATAATTTGTAATGAAATTTATTTGTAAATATATTAATTCATTACATTGGATAACCTGATTATCCTCTATTACCGACCTCATCAATCACACCAAGGGCAGAAAACTAACAGATCTCAGCACCTGGCTTGGACTACTACTACTGTTTATCTACCTCCTTAAACCTGAATCAACAAATCTTTGTTAGAATGATGCTTAAGTCACGATGTTCATTTCCAGCTGCTGTGGAACACAAAACCCTACCTTTATTTTTTGTAAGTTCCACAAACAAGATGCAAGTTGGTATTTTCTCATTTCTGAGAGGCCTACTAACAACATATTGCACACAAGATCCTATGTGTTACCACATCTCATTTCATAGATCACCTTACATAAATATTTTTTGTATGAAAATCACAAGTGCAATCCTGGGAGTCACCCATTTTGCTTTGACTCACACCATTTCCTTGGAGCTAGTTAGTCAAATGTCCTTTTGGGGACTGCAAGAAATATGCAACACTTCACAGATTTGTGTGTCATCCTTGTGCAGGGACCTTGCTAACCTTCTTGACATTGTTTCAATTTTAGTATATGTACCCCTGACACCAGCACAAATCCCTACTTTTATATGTGAAGACTGATCAGTGATGGATGAGGCTTAGCTCTGTTAAATCTAAGCAACTTACTTGAGATAGAGTGAAGTCTATTGAATGCCTTCATGGTAATGCAGAATTTGAAAAGATTTTAAAAACTCGAGGTAAAGATGCAAGTAACATGGAAGATTTTTACTTTCAGGAAAAGGGAATCACTTGAGGGAACAACCACAAGTTGGAACCCACTACAACTTTGGAAAGATGACATGGGATTTTACAGAATAAGATGAGACCTTCCACTACCTATAAAATGGTGCTACACGGGATATAAAGTGCCAGGAATATAGATCTGGTAACAAAATAAAAATGGATCTCTAATTTCTTCCTGTAACAGTATTTCAACCTGTCGTACAGTCTTAAACTTTCACAACTAATATTTGCTAGAGAAAATAGAAAAAGTCACTCAAATGATAACTTATCATGAAGGTCTAGGCCAAGTCCGGGCTAAGATGTGGGTTTCACATCAGGTTTTGAGTGGGAGGAGAATGGTCAATTTGCTCACTATGTGTGTGGCAAAAGATAAAAGTCCTAGCTGCCAGAGCAGGGTGCTGGTACTTTGGAAACAATGGCTGAGAATATGTATGTGAACTTTAAAAAACTGTAATGACTTTGAAGTCTATATATGGATCACCATGAAAACTGAGGGATCTGTGTTAGTAAGGGCATCCTGGTCACAAAGGTCAATCATTACCAGACTGCAGGGGCAGTTTCAATGGCAACGGCGCAGCAACAGAATCAATGGAAACAACAAAAAGAAGAGAATGGCCGTGTCCCCCCAAATCCTTCTGACTTATGCAAAATGAATGTCTTCCTTGGACTTAAGGAACCCCTTAGATTCCTTTTAAAAATTCAAGTATTAAGGTATGGAAGACAGCCCCCAGGGGACATTATCAGGTTTTCTGCCGAAGTGGACATTTCCAGACCCAAATAACTAATTAGAAAAATCAAAATTGTGACACTGTGTTTATCCCGAGCCTAGGGGTTATACTTCAAATCAAGCAGTCAACATTAGGATCCCTAGGGATAAAGCTGTTGAAAGTCCTAAAATAAAGAATCCTGGACCCAGTACTCCTTCTAACTAGTCTGGCTTTTTGCCTAGTTTCTGGCTGATGAAGTGAACTAAGTCACTGTCTTTCAAAAACTCCCTGAAACAAACAATAAAATTTCACCTAGCCTTTAAATGTAAACACTTACTAATTAACTCCACAAGCAGCAGCATAACGTTCTGCAGTTATTCCATGTATGTCTTCAGCAAAGACGTCAACATTTTGCTGAAGAAGCATGCCGACTATCTCTGATGAGCCTTCACATATGGCAAGCATGAGGGCTGTGCTAAAATAACAAAGAGATAACTTATTATGAGCAGAATCAATTTAATATGTGCCTATCAGTGTAGAATTAACCATTTACATGTACTAACAAACATAAGTATCTTGAGTGCTCAAGTGTTTATCCTTGCAAATCACCACCAAATCTAAAAGGAAGGGGCAAAAAGACTCATGTCCCACTGGGGTGTGGCATACTAGAATTGGCTAACATAAAGTCCCTTGAGGGGCAAGGAATTATGATTTGTTCACTAACCTAAAAGAGGCAAAGATTTAAGGGAAGAATTATCTATTTCTTGCTTAGTCTGATATAATATTTTATACTTAAAAATCAGCTAGAAGTCAGACAAGAGAGAGCAATCTGAAGGCTTAAAACAATATTAGGAATAATGATATTAGTAGTAGTCATAGTAAGTTTAGTTAATGATGTTGATAAGAATGTATGAGACACTGAATTAAATGCTGTTGATATTTATAATGTTACTTCAACACAATCATCCTTAAAGCACATATCATTATTCTCCTTTTCACATAGAAAGTCATACTCGGTATTATGTAATGTTTGCAAGGTCACACCTATCAAGTGAGGAAGCTAGAAATTAAACTCAGTCTTGTGTGAATCAAAAGCCTATCTCTTTTCTCTTTATCATTCACCTATGGCTTATCTTAATTAACTAAAATATTAATCAAATTAAAGATGTCTTTCTTCCCTCTACCCATACAAATTAAAAATAAAAATACACTATGAAAAAAATGAAAAAAATAATAAATTCACAGTATCTGGTGATAGCAATTAATAGTCAGTCACATAGGGATAACCTAAAATTAATATGCTTCAAAGAAAACAACTTTATTAAAGCAAATAGTCGTCCTAAAGACAAAATGGTTTTAAACTCCTGTTTCTATTTAATATTGCTTTTTTTTTCCTTTGAGACAGAATCTCGCTCTATTACCCAGGCTGGAGTGTGGTAGCATGATCTCAGCTCACTGCAACCTCTGCCTTCTGGGTTCAAGCGATTCTCGTGCCTCAGTCCCCTGAGTAGCTGGGACTACAGGCATGCGCCACCATGGCAGTAATTTTTGTATTTTTAGTAGAGATGCGGTTTTACCATATTGGCTAGGCTGGTCTCAAACTCCTGGCCTCAAGTGATCCAACCACCTTGGCCTCCCAAACTGCTGGGATAACAGGCAACAACTACCATGCCCAGCAAATATTGCATTTTTTAAAAAGTGTATAAGGTGTAAAAATTAATTCAGGATGGATTAAAGACTTACATGTTAGACCTAAAACCATAAAAACTCTAGAAGAAAACCTAGGCAATACCATTCAGGACATAGGCATGGGCAAGGACTTCACATCTAAAACACCAAAAGCAATGGCAACAAAAGCCAAAATTGACAAATGGGATCTAATTAAACTAAAGAGCTTCTGCACAGCAAAAGAAACTACCATCAGAGTGAACAGGCAACCTACAGAATGGGAGAAAATTTTTGCAACCTACTCATCTAACAAAGGGCTAATATCCAGAATCTACAATGAACTCAAACAAATTTACAAGAAAAAAACAAACAACCCCATCAAAAAGTGGGCAAAGGGTATGAACAGACACTTCTCAAAAGAAGACATTTATGCAGCCAAAAGACACATGAAAAAATGCTCACCATCACTGGCCATCAGAGAAATGCAAATCAAAACCACAATGAGATACCATCTCACACTAGTTAGAATGGCGATCATTAAAAAGTCAGGAAACAACAGGTGCTGGAGAGGATGTGGAGAAATAGGAACACTTTTACACTGTTGGTGGGAATGTAAACTAGTTCAACCATTGTGGAAGTCGGTGTGGCGATTCCTCAGGGATCTAGAACTAGAAATACCATTTGACCCAGCCATCCCATTACTGGGTATATACCCAAAGGACTCTAAATCATGCTGCTATAAAGACACATGCACACGTATGTTTATTGTGGCACTATTCACAATAGCAAAGACTTGGAACCAACCCAAATGTCCAACAATGATAGACTGGATTAAGAAAATGTGGCACATATACACCATGGAATACTATGCAGCCATAAAAAATGATGAGTTCATGTCCTTTGTAGGAACATGGATGAAGCTGGAAACTATCATTCTCAGCAAACTATCGCAAGGACAAAAAACCAAACACCACATGTTCTCACTCATAGGTGGGAAGTGAACAGTGAGAACACATGGACACAGGAAGGGGAACATCACACACCAGGGACTGTTGAGGGGTGAGGGGAAGGAAGGGGGAGGGATAGCATTAGGAGATATACCTAATGCTAAATGACGAGTTAATGGGTGCAGCCCACCAACATGGCACACGTATACATATGTAACAAACCTGCACAATGTGCACATGTACCCTAAAACTTAAAAGTATAATAATAATAAAAAAAGAAATTAAAAAAGTGTATAAAAAAGAGAAGTTAGAAAAATACTATAAAACTGTTAATAATTCAATATTGAATTATAAAGCAAACTAAAAAAGTTCATACTTCTTAAAACTGATGCAGAACCACTTTAGCTAATAGAAAATAATGCAACCAAAATCATCAGATTACAAATAAGAATCAGTCAATATAATAAGAGAAGATAAGTCCTACTATACACTGTTTTTTATGTTGACCAGTCCAAATAATTGCTTTTCTTCTGATAATTTGTGTTGATATGTTTCACTATAATCTAATAATTTTAACTAAATGTTGTTAATTTAATATTTCTGACTTGAGCATTATTACTCTAGAACACTAGTCAAGTGTTTTTTAGTAAAAAAAAAGAACTACCATACCATTTAGACTCATTAAATGCGTTTGCATTTGCATTTTTTGTTAGTAAAAATTCCACAGTTTGCTTGCTTCTTTTCTGTATGGCCAGTAAAAGGGGTGTGAGGCTAGCCTGTAAAATAGCAGAACAATATATAATTCATGAAATTACATATTTCTCAGCTGAACTGAATACCTTATATTATATCCTATTAACTTAAACACATAAAGTAGAAAGTAAATAAGTAAATCAATAGCAGTCCCTTCTTTCTCCTTTTTCTGTGCTTTCCCATGCACTGCACCTTCCCTTGTAAATATTCAGCCTCTGCATCACCACATTAATTCTGGTTATCTCCAAAAATCATTATATTGTAATGATTTTATGGTTTCCCATCTAAACCAAGAGCTTCATGAGGGCAAGGGCTGTATCTTTTATCTCTATATCCTTAAACCCTAAGACATAGTAGTAAATACTTTGTTTTTGACTAAATGAGTAATCTATAATATTACCTCTAGAGCAGTGTTTCTTAAACTATATTCCAAAGAATAATTACCTTACCAGAAGCACTGTACCCCAACAGATTCCACCATTATCTATGTTCAAGAAATATTATAAAACTGTGAACTAAATGTCCATTATTCAATAAATGACTTGAACTTTGCCTAATACTTACTTGACAATATATTTTTGTGGCAGAGATTAACATTTGACAAATTAGAATTTCAGGCATACAGTTTTGAAAGCTTCCCAAGAAAAATGGAGGTTTCCTGTAGGTGATACAAACTCTCTTGATTCTATTCTATCAATAATCCCAAGATCCCAGATGCCAATGTCAGGCACTCCTGCTCTAAATGGGTCACTAAGGAAGTGGCTCTAAATCAAAAGAGATTGGCTTCAAATGAACTTTGACTGCTTATTATTAAATGGTCCATGAGGTTTCTCCTATTACAAGACAATAGAATTTTTTCTCGGCTATTAGAAATTCAGTATAAAAGTTTATTCTCAATTATAATGATAATCCTAGGATCCTAATGCATATCTACTTCTTTAAATGCAATAATCCATTTTTATTCTGGTTGCTATTGTAATTGCTACTTAATTTTTGGAAAAATATCAAAAATATGAATAAAATGGCTTACTAATGAAAGTTCTAACTCATCTATGTGGATTAGCATAACAGAAGCCCCTAAATCACTTGAATTTTAAGGGACAATTCTAAGAAGAAGGATATAATATTTTCTGCAATATGCATAACCTATTCAAATACAACCAAAATTAATCTAAAAAGGCTTAAAGGCATTCTAATAAAAGATTATTATTTATGGTTTATATACAGAAAAATCATTGTTTAAAAAGTCTTCGAAATTCTAGAAGTCAACCCCAGTATTAATGAATTAATGTAAAATATAAACTATATATTATAAACAGCTATCAACTGTCTTGAATACCTTGAAACCTTTACCAAAATATACTATGAGAGAGGAATTGATAACTGAAATATTTACAGAGGCAAAAGAGGTAAGTTCAGTAAGTGATGTAACTAGGTGGGCACAGTGGCAAACTGGAAACATGCTTTGTGTAAAGCTAGAACGTTCTCTTAGCATACCAAACAGTCATATGTGCTCAAGAGACACCAGATGCAATCCTTTAAGAGGAAATCCAGATTTCTGCACGTATCCTAAATTTTACATGTTGACTCAATTTACACAGGCAAATTTTGCTTTCCTGTAGTTTTACACTAATTGGAAAGAAAAAAAAACCTTGGGTAGGAAAGAATATTTGAAAAAGTTTTACCTTTAACAAATTCAAATATTTATCATAAATGCACAGAAAAGCCATACTCTCTAATAGTTCTTTTAAAAAATTAATATTTAAGGTTAAATCTTAGATAATTAAGTTCTTTCAAATTATTTTCACTCAAGGAATGTTTGTGTTTCCAAATATAAAAGCCTTACATATGTTAACATTAAAACAAATGGATTTCAAATATTTTGAAAATAACATTGGTTAATGTCTACCTTGTTTTGCACCTCGATGACTGCACCATAGGACAGCAGTGTTGCCACCATTAACAAATTCTCACTATAAACGGCATAATGGAGAGCCGTGTTGCCATACACATCTACATAATTTAGATCAGCACCAGCATCTATGAGAATATTTGCACAAGCCTCCCTCTCGCATTGTAGAGCCTGTCAGTATTAAAGCAAGAAGTACATTATAAATTATAGGAAATCAAAATAAGTATTCCACAGGTTTCACAAACTAGTTGTATTTCAACTAAATTCATTTTTATTCTATGTATTTAAACCAAATCCATCTCCCGCTGAAAAAACTGGCTACTATTTACCTTCATCAGAGGTGTCCTCCCTTCGCCATCAAGGACATTAAGCTGGCACTTTCTGTCTACCAGAAATGTTACTACTTCTGCATGGCCATTGACACAGGCCCAGTGTAGAGCAGTCCTACGAGAGTGAGAGGACTTTTAGGCAAAGTATAGCCCACTGTCTCAAAACATACAACGATTTAGGTAATTGTAAACATTAAATACCATGCTCTTTCTCTACCTTCAAAACAAATATTTAATATTCTCCTGAAGAAAGTACAACATTCGTTCTCTTATTACTCACCGCATTAATGAAAGAGTGGCCTGTTTGAATACAAAGAGCTTGGCCTTTGGATTCAGTTCAACTTGAGCTTGAATATTACTTTAAGGTCTTTCACTTTCTAGCTGTCACTTAAACTTTCTGCACCTCGCTTTTCTCATCAATAAAATGGAGATGAATACAGCCGTTATCTCACAGGACATCACTGTGATGCCTCATTGAGAATCTATGCAAAGTATTTTGGAGAGTTCCTAGTACATGTAACAGCTAAGTAATTGTTAGATATTATAATTATTACTACTACTTAATAAAGAAAACATTTTAAGTAAAATGGTGCAATTATGCCTACTTCGTGGTGTGTTTTAAAGGTTAGAGATAACACAGTATTTTAATGATTCTAAGATGCTCAATTGCTCATATTTTAACATCTCTGACATTGAAATGCCATTTATAATTCATTATTTATTACAACTATATTTGGCAGAAATTTAAACAATCTTTAATTGGTGCATAAAATAAAGAGGCATCACACAATTCACAGTGTCTTCCAAGAAGTGGAATACGGTATATACAACAGGACGATGGCAGTCCTAGTCACAGGATTAACACTGAAAGAAATTTTAGCTTTTTAGAGGACTACACAATAGGAGAGTTGAAATAAAAACAACAAATTGTTAAAACAAACTACTTCCTCAAGATTTTAAAAACTTCAAGCCAAAGAAAACTTTGGTTTCAAATAAATAGGTATGGCTCATTTTATTCCCTATTTAGATTTACAGAATGTATGGAAATTCATATTTAGATTTATAGAATGCATGTAAATTAGGTATTTTTGATGATTAATATTACTATTTAGAGCTGTTATAAATTTCCAAAACCTGGTTGGTAGTTATCTTTTACTCGTTTCTCACTTCAGAAGTGTTTTTGTTTGAAACATGAGAGGAAAAGCTTAATTGAGATTCAGTCCTAATACTCCAATTTTAAATCTCTCACTTTGCTCAGGCTGAGCAGGTAAACATGAAATTTTTAAGGATGAAAAGGTCTTGAGAGTTAATAGAATGTATCTTCTACATAATAGGCATCCAGCTTACATGTGATAAATGGATTAAAAGAATGGATAAATACAGTTGGGAAGTACAGTATCTTAAAAAACTGCTATAAATAAAACACTTATATTTGTCATTTTATTTTTCTAATAATAAAACTACACTAAAATGATTAATCTATAGTTATTGACATATATGTAATAAGCCTATATATAATAAAAATGTGTTTAATAAAATGTATATGTAAATCAATAAGCAGAGATAAAAATATTCTCTTCTGAAGATGCTAAAAGTTCACAGAATATACAAATGCACAAAAAAATAAAATATAGAAAGTGAGAAATTATTTTCATCTGTGCAAAATACATATTGCTGCTCCTCCCAAAAATTATTTCATTAATAATAAACTTTTACTAATAGCATCGTACATGCTCAATGCAGAAATCAAAGATAAAAAAAGGAAAAACATTTTATATTAAAACAAGTATCCTCAAATAGCAAATGTTATCAAATTTTGGACATAATTTCAGATAACACAAGACCATAGTCTGTATGTATAATCAAACTGAATTTTACCCTCACTTGGTACACCAAAATACATTTTCAAATGTCAACATACTTCCGTATATGTTTCTACCTTGAGTGGTCACATATTATCCCATGCTGTAAACTCACTGAAATGTATTTATAAAAGCCATTAAATGGATTCTTTTTAATACATTGATATTTTAAGCAGTGCTCAGAAAAGAAATTGTGTGTATGTTGCATTATTTTCTAAAAATATTTTAGTATAATAGAATGGATCACTAATGGGCATATACAATTTTTTAAATATGGTACTTACCATCAAATTGTTTATTTGAAAACTCATCTGCAACTTACACTTTAAGGAGTACTATAAATATCACTGCTTTTTATCCTCACAAACTTTGTGGATAGAAAACAGTATTTGATTCCTCTTTTAACTTAAATGCCTTCTCTAACCAGGAACACTAATATTGTTTCCTGTGTGCATAGGTTACTTGCAGATCTTAAAAAAGGACTTTGCCCAGTTTTAAATTAGAGGCCAAGTACTTTTTTAGATCTGCAATTTAGATCTCTAACTTAAATTGCCCAATTTTAAATTAGAGGGTTTTCTGTTGATTTGAGTGAATTCTCTATAAAAGGAAGATTTTTAATTCTAATATGTATACACACACACACATACATGAGTAGTAAATATTTTACAAGTATGCTGCCTTTTATTTTTTCTCATATGCAGGGTGATTTAATTTTTGTTTTACTAAATTACTCTTCAGAATGCTTGCTTCTGAGCTTCTTAGAAAGGTTTTGTCAACATAAAAATGTATCTGTGTAAATAGGCATTTATGTTTTTTCTGGTATTTTTATCTTTTTGTATATTAAAAATTTTTAATCTATATTCCATCAGGAACTTATTTTGTGCCATAAAAATCTAGTTTTCTCCAAAAAGCAGGCATTTCACTTATGAAACTAATTCTTTTCCTAATAATTCATATTCCTAAAAGAATTATGAAACTAATTCTTTTCCACAAGGATAATGATCCTTGTGATCATTATCAAGTTCTAAATTCTTACATATGTTTGGGTGTTTCTGGATTTTCTATTCTGTTGTATTCATTTACCTGTCTTTTCAGCTGTTAGCAAACAATCTGTGATTTTTTTTTTTTTTTTTTTTTTTTTTTTTTTTGAGACAGAGTCTCACTCTGTCACCTAGGCTGGATTGCAATGGTGGGATCTCGGCTCACTGCAACCTCCACCTACCAGGTTGAAGCAATTCTCCCGCCTCAGCCTCCCAAGTAGCTGGGATTACAGGCACCCGACATCAGGCCCAGCTAATTTTTGTATTTTTGTAGAGACGGTGTTTCACCATATTGGCCAGGCTGGTCTTGAACTCCTGACCTCAGATGATCCACCCGCCTCGGCCGCCCAAAGTGCTGGGATTACAGGCGTGAGCCACCGCTCCTGGCCCATTTTGTGCAAATTAATAGCGCATTTTGATATCTAGAAGGGCAAGACTTTTCTACTCCATTACAAAATATTTAAAATGTCATCACAACAGTAAAAGCCTGTGTAATTTAAAAAATGTTAAAACGTTAATAGCTTTATTTGGTTTATGTAAAACTGGTAAGTCGCATCTTGAGAAAAATGAGTCTTCTTAAATTCAAGAACATAAACTATCTTCCCACCTCGAAGTTTCCTTCTAAGGTCCCTCAGCAAAGAACATATTTACATAGACATTCATTGATATCAAAATGGACATTGGACTTTATCCAAAGAATTTTTAGCCAAGAAGGTCATATATTATGGGAATTAGTTCATTATGCACCATTTCATAGTGTATCTAACATTATCTTTTAAAACCTGTACATTAAAAGTAAAACCCTGTATGTACTTAATTTTGTGAGTTTAATCACTTTAAAATTTTCTACAGAGTGCTTTGTGAGGGGAAGTGGGAGTGAAGGAGAAAGCAGCTAAAGCTTGGGGTTGATTTTAAGGTGGCCTGTGCCCTCTGCCCTGCAGGGCGCCCCCATCCCAGGCCTGGGGGGCCTGACCGGGAAGAAGGCCAAGACCTCGGGGCCCAGGACGGCCGCCCCATCGCCCGCCACTCCTCCACCTGCTCCCCTCGTCCCCAGGACCCCCAGCCACCACTCTGAAGGGGCGATCCTCCCACAGCCGCCTCCTCCTCCTGCAGCCCCGGCTCAGGCAGGGCCTGGTACCTCTTCTTCATATCTCTTTTGTTCAGGTTGACGGGCTTCTTCCCTACTGTCATCTTCTCCAGCTTCTGGACTTGGCCCCGGGAGGCAGCTGTATGGATCTTCCCTAGATCCCCGAAGTAGATGGTCCCGTAGTCCTTCTCAGTGTAGACCCGTTCGCTGAAGGGGTTCGGGGGCTCCGGGCCCCGCACGCCCTTGCCAGCGGCAGCTAAGAGCCTCTTCATGGCTGCAGCCCCCTGCTAGAGAGAGCCCGCGCCTCCCGCTCGCCCTTCCCCAGCCCCTACCCCTCGCCCTCGCTTCCCGCTTACCCTTCCCCAGCACCCGCCCCCGGCTCGCACTCGCCCGTCTTCAGTTCCCGCACCCGCCCCAACACCAGCAGAAATTTCTGTATCGCCAAGCTCTTGAACACTCCGGCCTCTGTCGGGAGAAATTCTGAGCAGAGCCGTTAGCTGCTCTAACGTTAGAGCGTTACAGCAGCAGCTCACGCGCAGCTCAGCAGGCTGAGGAGACACGCGCCCTGGCCGCGCTCCACCGGGCACCGCGTGCAGGTGGCACCGGCCGCTGAGGCGCTGCCGGGCTGGCGGGCCTCCCTGGAGCGGAACGTGTGGGGCTCCCTGCAACACGGCCTGCTTGACATAGCCGCCCCTGGCCCCTCCTCGACCCGCGATCCAGGAGCTGGACCCTGGTACTGGGCACCGTGCAGCCTCCAGGGCCGCGCTGAGCGTCGATTCCCGCCCTCCTGCAGCTGGGGACCGACCCCCTCACTTAGGCGCCCTGGAAGCTTCTGGCCCAAGTATCCGCCCTGCTGCTGGCACGGACAGGGTCCGGGTTGGAGCCCCCGCTGCCGCGTGCCATGTTCAGGTGGGAGCTGCACCTGAGTCCACGGTGGAGGCTGCAGGGCTGGGCCCAGACCGCTGAGGGTCGCCGAGTGCACCGCCCTTCCACCCTGGGCTCTGCTCTTCCTTGGCCCGCGCTGGCAGCGCAGGCTCGCGACCTCTGGGCCATGTATAGTTGCCAGGATGAGGCTTTGCGGCAGGTTCCCGCCCTCACACAGCTGAGGTCCCACCGCCTGATTTAGGCGCAGTGGCGGCGTCCGACCCTGGGGTTCCCCGCTGCTGGTGGCACGGACAGGTTCTGGGGTTGCCACCGCTGCTGCCACTACAGGCATGAACCACCGTGCCAGGATGTAATCTTTTTTTCTTGAGACGGAGTTTGGCTCTTGACGCCCAGGCTACAGTGCAATGGTGCGATCTCGGCTCACTGCAACAACCTCCGCCTCCCAGGTTCAAGCGATTCTCCTGCCTCAGCCTCTTGAGTAGCCGGGATTACAGGTATGTGCCACCATGCTGGCTAATTTTTTTTTTTTTTTTTTTTTTTTTTTTTTTTAGTAGAGACGGGGTTTCTCCATGTTGGTCAGGCTGGTCTCGGCAACTCCCGACCTCAGGTGATTCGCCTGCCTCGGCCTCTGAAAATGCTGGGATTTCAGGCGTGAGCCACCGCGCCTGGCGGGTTACTTTGTAGGTTACTTTGTACTTTAAGTAACATGGACGCAGGCCGGTCGCGGTGACTCTGGCCTGTAATCCCAGTATTTTGGGAGGCCGAGTCCGGTGGATCACCTGAGATCGAGGTGGAGACCTGCCTGGCCAACATGGAGTGAAACCCCGTCTCTACCACACATACAAAAATTAGCATGTTGCCTGGTGCCGTGACTCAAGCCTGTAATCCCAGCACTTTGGGAGGTTGAAGCGGGCAGATCACCTGAGGTCAGGAGTTGGAGACCAGCCTGGCCAACATGGCGAAACCCTGTCTTTACTAAAAATAGCTGGGCGTGGTGGTGTGCGCCTGTAATCCCAGCTACTAGGGAGACTGAGGCAGGGAGCATCACTAGAACCTGAGAAGCAGAGGTTGCAGTGAGCCGAGATCAAGCCCTTGCCCTCCAGACTGGGTGACAGAGCGAGATTCCGTCTCAAAAACAAAGTCCAACTAAAAATAAAAAACAAATAAAAAATAAACAGTCTAACAAGTTGTAGAGACTACATTTCATTAACTTACTCTGTTTTCTTTGTTAGTTTACACTAAATAAAATTTCATTGTTACTTATTCCAGAATAGGCTAGAAAGGTATAATGGGCTCTTTTATCCATTGAAGATGAAAAACAGGAATGATTATTCTTGGCTATTCAGAGGTCCTTGAAGGTCCTTGGATCTTCACAAAGGAACTCACAATTTCTGTTCTTCTGACTTTTATCCCTAGTGAATTGACGGAGTCTCGCTCTGTCGCCCAGGCTGGAGTGCAGTGGCTTGATCTTGGCTCACTGCAAGCTGCACTTCCTGGGTTCACGCCATTCATTCTCCTGCCTCAGCCTCCCGAGTAGCTGGGACTACATGTGCCTGCCACCACGCCCAGCTAATTTTTTGTATTTTTAGTAGAGACGGAATTTCACCGTGTTAGCCAGGATGGTCTCGACTTCCTGACCTTGTGATCCACCCGCCTCAACCTCACCAAGTGCTAGGATTACAGGTGTGAGCCACCGCACCCGACCAGGGGTATTTATAGTCTTATTGATCCCAGTTCATGTGATTATTCATATGATTTGCCATTAGAGTTATTCCATAATAGGCAGAATATTTACCACATTACCTTTCTAAAATCTAAATATTTTCGGATTGTAATTTCAAAGAAATCTGACTTGGGAATCTTATTTTGAAATCTGATTCTAAGGAATTCGGATAAGCTATTGGAAAATATCACAAATGACAAAAATTTTGCATTAAAATTGTTGATAAATTTAAATCACTTTGCAGCTGAGCGTGGTGGTTCACACCTGTAATCCCAGCACATTGGGAGGCCCAGGCAGGTGGATCACGAGGTCAAGAGATGGAAACCATCGTGGCCAACATGGTGAAACCCCGTCTCTACTAAATATACAAAAAATTAGCCGGGCGTGGTGGCGCGTGCCTGTAGTCCCAGCTACTCGAGAGGCTGAGGCAGGAGAATTGCTTGAACCCAGGAGGCGAAGGTTGCAGCAAGCCGAGATCGCACCACTGCACTCCAGCCTGGTGACAGAGCGAGACTCCGTCTCAAAAAAAAAAAAAAAAAAAAAAAAAAAAAAATTCAATTACTTTGTGTATATAAGGGTCTAATTTTTAAAAAATTGTAAAATATCCTATACCTTCATTAGTATTACTTATTTGTTCTTGTCACTCCATCAATGTGAGGCGTAAATAAAATTTGTTAAGTTAAAACTTTCGGTGTACTTTCACTCATTTATTTATTTTGAGACAGAGTTTCACTCTACCATCCAGGCTGGAGTATAGTGGCGTGATCTCGACTCACTGCCACCTCCGCCTCCCAGGCTCAAGTGATTCTCGTGCCTCAGCCTTCCAAGTAGCCGGGACTACAGGCATGGGCCACCATGCCTGGCTAATTTTTAAAAGTCCTGTATCATATAAGAACATTAGAATTCTGGGATTATTTTTTGTTTTTGTTTAAGAGACAGGGTCTCACTGTATTACGGAGGCTGGGGTGCAGTGATGTGATCATAGCTCCCTGTAGCCTGGAACTCCTGGGAAAAGCAATTCTCCCACCTCAGCCTCCCCAGTAGCTGGGACTACAGGTGCTTGCCACAACGCCCATCTAGTTTTTAAATTTTCTGTAGAGATAGGTCTCACTATGTTGCCCAGTCTGGTTTCAAACTTCTGGCCTCAAGGGATCCTCCCCACTTGGCTTCCCAAAGTGCTAGGATTACAGGTGTAAGTCACCATGCCGGGACAAGAACATGAGACTTCTCTTGCCATTTTTTTATATCTAAGTGGAATAGCATAGTATTATGTGTCAGTGTTGAATTATTTTAAAATATTATGCACTGAAACATGCTAATAATCTGGGTCAGTTTCTATCTTGACCTAGGTTTAAACATATTAGCTAACATGAGGGGCCCAACATTAATAATGATTCCATACCATCTCCTTATTTATTTATTTATTTATTTATTTATTTATTGAGACAGAGTTTTGATCTCTTGCAAAGGTTGAAGTGCAGTAGCACGATCTTGGCTCACTGCACCCTCCACCTCCTGTGTTCAAGTGATTCTCCTGCCTTAGCCTCCCGAGTAGCTAGGATTACACCCACCACCACAACCAGCTAACTTTTGTATTTTTAGTAAAGATGGAGTTTCACCTGGTTGGCCAGGTTGGTCTTGAACTCCTGATCTCAAGTGATCTGCGGCCTTGGCCTCCCAAAGTGTTGTTATTACAGGTGTGAGCCACTGCCCCCAGCCACCATTTCCTTTCATTAAAAATATGTGAGATGAAAGTAATTTGAGGGCAGTTATTTTCATATAGAGTCATTTTATCAAACAGGGATTAATATTAATGACTAGTATTAATATTTATTTTATCTAAAATTATGTCTGATTTTTCTAAATTCTCTGACTCGCTAATAATGTTAAACATTAGGTTTAATACATATAATTAGGTCTGTGTGGAGGCACTACGTAAATAAAATTGTTTTTAACATTTTGTAAGGTCTGCTGCTTTACAAGTCTTATTATCTTTGCTCCATTTTTAATACCAAAATTTTAACTGTGATAATTAGGCTGGAGACACCAAATCAAGGATATGTTTACATAATCACTCTCAAGGATCTCAAGGGTCATTTTCTGGTTACATTATGAAAATTGTAAAAGGAATCCAGTATATATTCCAGATAATAGCTCTTGATAAATCATATACATCTATATAATAGCTATAGATATAGTTTAAGATTTAGATCTAGATATATTCAGCAACTCTGTAATTTATCGAAAGGTTTTGGTTAAAATATAAGACATTCCTCAATGTAGAATTAGTTCTAAAAAATTGGTTGCAATGAAGAATGTTAACAACTTACCTTCCTGTTTTCTCTGAATATGGAACAATTCGAGATAGACATGGAAGTAAAGCATAATGAACTTTGGGAGGCCGAGGTGGGCAGATCATGAGCTCAGGAGATCAAGACCATTCTGGCTAACACGGTGAAACCCCGTCTCTACTAAAAATATAAAAAATTAGCTGGGCGTGGTGGTGGGCGCCTGTAGTCCCAGCTACTCGGGAGGCTGAGGCAGGAGAATGGCGTGAACCCGGGAGGCAGAGCTTGCAGTGAGCCGAGATCGCGCCACGGCACTCCAGCCTGGGCTACAGAGCCAGACTCCTCCGTCTCAAAAAAAAAAAAAAACAAAACAAAAAACAGAAGTAAAGCATAATGAAATAAACATGTGATCTCTGTAGCTCATGGTGTTGTTGGCGTGGTGCTTAGCAACAGGGATTTTCCTACACTACACTCCAGTACAGAGCACAGAGCAGAAACTTTATCGCTAAATTTACCGCACAGCAGAGGCAGAACAGAATTCATTTTCACTGCAGGCTGGGACATCCTAAAGAGAAAAAACGTGGAATGGGTGATATGAGCTACCCTAGTTTCTTTCTTTCTTCCAATATCTCCAGTCACCTCCACTACTGATCTAGTGAACACAGGCGCAGGAACAGTGCCCTAAACCACATTCGATGTCCTTCAGTATCTTTGCCAGTCGAAATTCAAAGGAAATATTTTAACTCAAGTAAAAAGAAGACTACAAAAGAAAGATAACCCACATGGGGATAGCAGAATTTTTTGTTTTTGTTTTAAAATCCCTTGTTTTGGCCACAGGCACTCTGAGCTAGAAGAAAATATTTAGGAGAAGGATGAGAAATCCTTCTGTATTGAATAAGGGAATTACTTCCAGATGGCAGTGGTATAAATCTACCATGATAACAACTATATATATATATATATATATATATATATATATATATATATATATATATATAAAATGAAATATGTTTATAGAAAATGTCTGGAATCTTTTTATAGTCTACAGTCCTTCTCAATGGCCTTAATTTGCACAAATAGCCTCAAACTATTTTATTTAATTAAAAACTGCAAGAGATTAACATTTTCTCCTCATAAGGTCCAGTCAAGTATTTTTCTTTGAATGAAGAATAATACATTGCCTGTAAAAAATTAATTCTTTGATTTAGTAGTTAGCAGTGAACAGTTGATATGGTTTGGATGTTTTATCCCCTCCAAGTCTCATATTAAAATGTGACCTGTATTGTCGGATATGGGGCCTAGTGGGAGGTATTAGGTCATGGGGGCAAATCCCTCATGAATGGTTTGGTTCCCTCCCCTGGGTAATGAGTGGTAAAGAGTTTACAGGAGATCTAGTTGTTTAAAAGAGTGTGGCACCTTCCCTCTCTCTCTTGCTCCCTCTCGTGCCCTATGACATGCTGGCTCCCCTTCAAATTCTGCCATGATTGTAATCTTCCTGAGGCCCTCACCACAAGCAGATGCTGACACTATGCATTGTGTACAATCTGCAGAACCAAGGGCCAAATAAATCTATTTTCTTTATAAATGACCCAGTCTTAGGTATTTGTTTTACAACAACACAAACACACTAACACGCTGGTGAAAATCAACTTAAATACTTAAATACAGATAATAATATAAATTTAAAATGCAAACTAAGAGTTGTAAAATTTATATTTCCCCTTCAAAAATTAGCATTCTAAATTCTCTCCTTACTATTTGTTTTGCTTTATACACTTCCAACTTCCTATGCTCAAGTTTTCAGAAGACATTGAAGAACATCACATCATTAGAGAGAAGAAAAGGAAAAATTGGCTACAAAAATTAACCATACAATGTATTGAATTAATAGAGTTTTGCTGAACAATTTTTGTTAATGGAGTTTATATTTTTAGGTATAAATATTTTTCTGCATGATATATTTAGACAAAGTTTTTTTTAATATAGGATATTTGCAGCAAATGGTCCAAAGGAGCCCAATTATTAAACAAAACACAAATATAAATTGATTACAATATATCAAATATGCCTTAATAATTATTTTGGGTAGCTATAAAAAGTAGAGTTACAAGATTGAGAGGTACTTTGTCTTCTGTGAAGGCTTTTAAAACATGACGCTACATTTCCCACCATCAAAGATTTACTTGTAAGAGATTTGTCTTCATTTTGTTTTAATTAGACCAAACGATTTGCCCATGGGGCATCTAAACTCAGAATGAGTTTGACATCACAACACAGTCTATATTCTCTGAGGAAAAATGAAAGGAAACTAAAGGATTTTATTTTTCAGACATCAAATCACAAAACAAAACAGTCCAATTTTCTTTGGGTTCTCAGTGGTACATTTATGTCTTCAGGGTTTTAAAAAACCACACCGTTTTGCATGCTTAAAAATAAAAGATTCGGTTCAAGAGTTCATGTTTGTAACATCTTGGCAATTTTTCTTTAAATCTCTAGGTCTAAAACTTTGCTAAAATAAAAAATATTTAGTGAGAAACAAGGTTACATGTGTTGCTTGCTGAAAGAAACTGCTAAAGGGAATGCATTAAGATATGGAACACAATTATGCAAAGTAAATACTCAATTGAACATGCCAGAAGTTTCCTAAATTTAAATTGCTAAATGGCCATCGTGGAAGAATCATTTTAGTTTTAAATTCTATAATAAGCAAAATAACTTTCTTATATAGAAACATTTGTTCCTTTGTGTATGAACCAATCAAATATGATATATAAATTATACATAAGATATGAATCATATATAATGTAGCTTATCCAAACATATTTTAGATGAACCTGTCAGTATTTTTTACATTATCAACATAGAACTGTTATAAGATAAATAAATCATTTATTCATTTTTCATCTCAATCAATATTTATAAGAGATGACATAAGTTAGATGATTCAGCTAATCTACACTGAAAGCAGTGGATAAGTCAATTACAATTTTTGCTCAAATATGGAAAAAAATCTGACTGATTATAATCAAAATCATTAACTGTCATTTACTTTTCCTGAAAGCTCTTTATTTAATATAAAATCTAGACATAAAGAAACTAATTTATCCTCTTAAGCGCTATAAACACTTTCTCTCATTTCATTATTTTTTTAGTTGTCAATTTTGATAGTGTTCAACTAGAAGTCGCCAATAGGCAATCCACTAATATAGGTTCACAGTTCTCATATATTTTTGAAACACTGAGATCAACCTGTCCCCAACTCCACTCCAGAGGCTAATGTTGAAATATCTGCCGAAAGCAATGCCAAACCAATATCTCTGAAATATAGAGAAAGTTGGCTATTATAATTCTCTTCATGATTATATTTATAATTTTATGTATACATGAGAGACAGAGCAAATATTACACATGAAAAATAATACATTTTACTTAAAAACATGCTAAGGTCGGCCGGGCGTGGTGGCTCACGTCTGTAATCCCAGCACTTTGGGAGGCCGAGGCAGGCGGATCACGAGGTCAGGAGATCGAGACCATCCTGGATAATATGGTGAAACCCTGTCTCTACTAAAAACACAAAAAAATTACCTGAGAGTGGTGGTGGACACCTGTAGTCCCAGCTACTTGGGAGGCTGAGGCAGGAGAATGGTGTGAACCCAGGAGGCAGAGCTTGCAGTGAGCCGAGATCCTGCCACTGCACTCCAGCCTGGGCAACAGAGTGAGATGCCATCTCAAAACAAACAAACAAACAAACAAACAAACAAACCATGTTAAGGTCTACAAGGTCTACAACTTAGTCATTTCTTAACTATACGACGTTGGGTGGGCCACTTACTTAGTTTCTCATTATTTTGGTTTTCTTTCTTGAAAAGTGAAGAATTGTTTTCTTCACAATTATCTCATAATTGTTTTCTAAAAACATAAAACACAAGAAACATTGCCTGGCATTGAGTAAATTATTAGTTTTTAGTATTAGTACTGATTCACATTTTTCCTACTGAAAATTAGATAATGACTCCTCATATTCTGCATGATTTTATAGGATATAAATTTAGATACAAATCAAGACATATTTGAAATAACGTTCTATACATTCAACCTCACATTTAGTGGATGAAACCCCACATTTCTCTCTGATAGCGTAAGTGACATTCACATCCTGTTTTGCCTCATTATTGAACACAGTCTTACCTAATTTTCTAGATGTCATAATTTATTTACTGTTGTCTCGTTTTCATGGTGGTGTGTATACTGCATATTTTGAGACACAGTACATTTAATTGAGTTATTTTCTCGCTCAAAAATAAAACTAGTTCCACATCCATTGAATCTTCAGTTTAAACTTAGAATCTAAAATAAAAAAACTCTTCTATGGCAATGATCATAAACTGGTAAACTGATATCTCATGGGTTGGATTAAGGCTGATTGACAGAATGACCTTGCAGGGCCATGTGTGTGCATGTTTACTCACCTTAAAATAAAAGAATTTTCTGTATGGGTTTATTTTACTAAGATTAGTGAGCATTTTAAATGAGTCAGGTGCTTCTGATTCATCATCTACGTCCCTGCCCAGTCTCTCTGTACTCACAAATCAGTCTGAGTGATGTAATATCATTTGAAGGTAGACTGTGGTAAGTTAAAGCTGCATATTATGAACTATGAAGTAACTACCAAAATAAAAAGTTACACCTAAAACTTAATAAAGAAAAAAATAGGATCATAAAAATCAACATAAAGCAGAAAAAAATATGCACCAGAAAAGCATATGATAAAATAGAAAAGAAATAGTGAGATGTTAGATTTAAAACCAACAATACAATAATTATTTTGGAAGAGTAGATGAAATATAAATTCGAGGCTACCAATTTATTAAGTGGATTTTGAGGACAGTCACTGTATTCTTAAGAAAGTTCTATTAATTTTGCAAATACTTTGAGGGGTATAAAAATATGGATATAATAAATTGCACACTAAAGACAATAAGTGATGATTAAGTACTTTATCACAGATGCTACATATTTCCCAAATCCAGTAGAAATGTAATCAATTTGTTTGACAGAATTTCAGTCTTTCTATTAACAGTCTTTCAGATCAAAATTAAAGAAAATCATATTGTGTACTTGAGCGATGTCCTTTATAGAGTCTTCATGCTCGGTCATAGGCTCAATTGCATGTGTCTGATAAGAATTATAAATAATATGACAGTTATTTCAGTTAATATGTTCTGTTAATCTATTTCAATTCAGAAAAAAACTAACCTATTTAGTTTTAGGATCTAATATATGTGAACAAATTTGGGAGGATTTCTTTAATAATCTATATGCATTCTTTGTTTTACATTCTTTCAAGCAAACATATGACATGGACAAATATGTGCAAACAGAAAATCACTGCAGTATATTAGAGTGGAAATGCAATGGCAGAATTATTTTTCAGTAAGTTATTGGGTAAAATATTTGAGTCATGCTGAGTACAAAATATTTTGTTAAGGCTAATTAGGTTGCAGATTATAAAATGCCCTAATAGTACCGATAAACTAGACTCACCTTTCTCAAAAGAAAGTGACTAATAATATTTTGTTGCTGAGTTAAACAGAATAAATGTCTAAGAACTTAGCCATAAGGCTGAGATTTTAATTAGATATTAAGGTGTTCAGGTTAATGTAAATCAGATTTGCCTTTCTAGATAAAGAATCCAGATTGACAGTGGCATTAACATTGTCATTAAATCTTAAATAAACACTAATTTTCCATTGCTTGCAAGAATCTGACCTGGGAAAAGATGGAAAAAAAGGAAATACTATAGAGTTTTTTGTTAATTATCAAGCTTTTCCTTTGTGTTTTGTTTATCAGATATATAACCTTTCAAACTGAAGCTGATAATCACATGAAATAGTTTTTAAAAACTGCTTGTTGGAGTCAAATGACTACTCTTGGCTTTTCTTTCTTTTTTTCCATTTCCATTTACAATAGCCAAAAAAAGTTTCTTGTCACTGTTTCTAAATAACACCATGACCTCCTGCTCACAAATTAAAATGTACTGCAATTTTCTAAATAAGAACAATCTACCCCTTTCTAAAATTTCAAATTAAATGTGCTTTATTTTTAGTATACTGACCTACCCTGCATGTATAAATTAAATGTAAAAAACATTTTATGTTTAGTAGGGTTGAAAATGAGACTATTTTTCCCTTATTTTTTTCTCCTTAAAACTTATTAATTCCTTTTTATATTCTAGATCTATAAATACTAAAATATTCTATTAACTGCTCTAATCTTCATGTAACAGTGTAGGTTCTACCCGTGTAACAGATGAGGAAACCAAGGAGCACAGTTATTTACTAACTTGCACAAGGCAAGTTTCAAAATTGTCTTTGAAAATAATGATTGCTTTTAAGGTTTATTCTATAATGGTTTAAGATCATGGGTTACAGAAGTAGAACAACTGTGTCTAATTACTAGTTCTAATAATTCTTATGGAGATTTGTTGAGATTTTATACACACACATACATGTTTGTTTTTGTGTATAAGTATATATATAACAATGTCTTACACATATGGATTAGCTGTTTAATATGTGTGAACTATTATATTCATTACTCGGCATTAGTGTTTAGGTTGTTTCAATTTTACCCTCAAAATGTAATGACTTTTTGAGAGCCTATATCAAATTATTGGAAATACACATGTATTTTTTAAAGGCATTAGTGATTCTTAGTATTTGAATATGAATTGTGAAGATTAGTATTGAAAAAAATCTTGGTAACTTAATGAGAGTAGTTGCAAAGGTGTTCCTTCTTTTCCTAAATGAATTATAAAGTAACAGTATTAAAGTCTACTTGTTTTTACTGCTAAAGTTATATATACATATGTATATATATGTATATATGTGTATATATGTATATATGTGTATATACGTATATATATGTATATATATGTAGAATTTGAAGTTTTAGTTCATCTAACTATGATTCCTCTATCAGAGCCTTTCCTGAGGAAATTTTTTTTTTGATGGAGAGAGTGAAAAGACTAGGTGAACAATGAGCAGCTAAAGGGAGAATTAGGGAGTTCCAATACTGTGAGAATGGGATTCCAGGTGGATTTCCTGAAAATGGCAAGATTCATCAGAAGCCTTTCCTTATTTTGGAGTGTTATTTATTTATCATAATATTTAGCTTATTTCTTATTCTGCTGAAGAGTCTCTAGTAATCTGTGGTTTGTACTGACTAGAAATATATATTTCAAGGAAATTGATGATAAAATATATATAAAGCAAAATATAAACCTTTACTTTTAAAGATTGTGCTATTTGGTGCACAAAGAATGGTGCATGTGTTTTCTGAGTGAGATGGGAAACCAGAGAACAGAAGAGTCATACATTCTCACCTCCTTTTGAAAAACTGACAATGGCTCCTGGATTGAACTTAGAGCTGTCAAATCAGAAGCAAGAAAATCTAAAGGTCACTGTGAAAAATATATAGTAGAGAAAGGGTGGTGGTGGCAAGAACCAGTTATTGTGGCTACATATAGTGCTAATTGAATTTCCTGTTAGATTCAATACATGGTGTAAGATAAATAGAGGAGTTGATGAAAATTCAAATATTTTTGACAATGCTAATAGGATAGAGGCTATTTGCAAATATTTTTATATGTTCATTTTTATAAAATATGGAACCCTTGAATAAAAGCACATCTGAAGGGGGTGATCAGAGTATGAAAAGGTTAGATTGAGTTCCGATTGTGGCATATTAATTTGAGATTGTCTACCGTACTATATGTTCAAGGAAAAATGTCAAATTGTTAATTAAACTTGACTCTGGATTTTAAAATAGAGGCCATAACTGGCGATGCATTTTTTTTTAATTCTCAGCATCTAAATGATATTTGAAGCCATGAGACAGGATTTAGGAACCAGGAGAGTGAATCTTGATAATAAACGCAGTGGCCTCAAATTCAGCTGTGGAACATTTCAAAGTTACATGGTTGGAGATTGGACGATGAGTTTCTGAATGAAGTAAGAAGGACCTGCAAGCAAGACATGAGAGAGAAGAGGGAAGGTTATGTTGTCCCTGAAATAAAGGAACAGTTTCCAGGTAAATGGTAGTAGGAAGATTCAATGCTGTAGAAAGATCAGGCAGGAAGTAAAAGTTTATATTAGATTTTCAAAATGGATTTTATTTGTAACACTGGCAATAATAGTTTCATTTTGTTTTTTTGAAGTGTTGGAATGGAATTGATTCAAGTGAGAATGGAATGTAATAAATCAGAGCCTGATGTCCTCATCTGTAAAACTGAACAATACTAATAACTGTTTCAAAGAGTTTGTAAGAACTAAGTTAGATAATTTCATAAATTTTAAAACACATTACCAGGTATATAATAAATAATTGAAAACTGTGTTTAAATGTTTATTATAATTAATTATTTTTAAAATACTATTATCAAAAAAAGAATTTTAAAATAACAGTATAAAAGGATGGATATATTGCAATATCTGAATTTTTTAAAAATCTAGATAATTTTTATTATTGAAATTGCCAAACAGTTTGATAGCCTATTGGAATTTTAAATGGTGTGCATAAATAATTTAGGAAAAAGAACAGAGATTGAAGTTCATTCCTAGGCTTTTGTGTAATTTCACATACTTTCAAGTTAGATATATTACATATACAAAGTAGACTTTAGATAGCTGTACTTTTATATTTAGATTGAGACAGAATTGGAAATATTTTGTAATATACATGTAGTTGGTGTAAGCCTGCTTACCTGAATCAGGGTTGTCTCTGAGAGTTGTCAGAATCACAGGATTGGCAGAGGCTGTATTGCAAATGGGTACTTTTATTTGTATTTATATCAATCCTATATTAGTCCGTTTACACACTGCTATAAAGAACTGTCAGAGACTGGTAATTTATAACAAAAAGAAGTTTAATTGACTCACAGTTCCATGAGCATGGATGCAGAGGCCTCAGGAAACTTACAATCACAGCAGAAGGGGAAGCAGTCATGTCTTACATGGCAGCAGGCAAGAGAGCGAGAATGAGAGAGAGAGAAAAAAAGAGAGAGCGCATAGGAGGAACTGTCAAACACTTATAAAACCATCAGATCTCATGAGAACTCACCCACTATCATGAGAACAGCATGGAGGAAACTGTCCCCATGATCCAATCACCTCCCACCAGGTCCTGTCCACAACAGGTAAGGATTATGGAGCTTACAATTCAAGATGAAATTTGATGGGGACACAGAGCCAAACCATATCAAATCCCCAAAAGCTAAAGCTGCGTGTGAGGGTGATGTGCTCTCTTTGGCCTAAAGCACTATATTAATATTTTCCTGCATACCTGAGTTTTCTTCCTGTATCTCAGATGAGAGTTATTCTTTACCTCGGTTTCTAACTTCCATCTCAACACGTCCATGAATGTAATAAAAAATAAGAAAAACACTTGAATTAATGCTTGGTATCTTTGACTGAAAATGAAAAAACAGTTCTTGATGTAAAGAACTTTAATTGTCAGAAGTGGCTGCACGTTGGCAATGATAAGACTTTTTGTATGCACAAGAGAAACATGTTTCTCAATTTGATTTCAATCATGCAATGTATGTAATTATAAAGTAATTGAAAATACATAGCTTCAAGGGCTCCTGTTTTTAAATAATAGATATGAGATAAGCATTTTGGACTAGACCCTTTGTAATTTCTATGACACTTTAGAAAACTAAGAATTATTCTGAAGCAAAAAATATAGATAAACTGGAAGAGAAGAGTCACAGTCATAATTTTCAATATGATTTATTCTAATTTCCATCATGCATTCATGTGCATTTTTATGAAGTAGATCTCATATCAACACATTTATTCAACAAACTATTGTTGTCATTCACTCTGTAAAATGACAAAGCCATAGTGACAAAAAATGTCATGGCCTCTTCCCAGAGTAACCTCTCAAGCATCATGAAAGAGTGATGTTTAATATCAAACTTTACAATGAAATAATGACATACACCTAGTATATAGTAGATTAATGAATTAACAGTCTCAGCAAAACAGGGAGGAATCTTTAGGTCTATTTACTAATAGTAATAAAAAGTATTCAGTACCTGTACACATACACACACACACACACACACACACACAATGGAGATTTTTATAATCAGTATTTGGCTACCAGTTGATTATTCATGGTGAGTCAAATAGAAAAGTTTGTAACAACTCCTAGCATTCTAAATTGGACACCTTACTGCACTAACAGAATATGCAAGAATACAATTGACACTTGAACAACTCTATAGAGTTGGGAGCACCATCCTTGGAGCAGTTGAAAATCCCCAAAAAGCTTTTGATTCCCCCAAAACTTAACTACTAATAGCCTGCTGTTGACCAGAAGCCTTACCAATAACATATAAAGTCAGTTAGCACATATTTTGTATGATATACATATATATAACTGTATTTTTAACAATAAAGCTAAAGAAAACATTAAAATCATAAGGAAGAGAAAATGTATGTATTGTTCATAAAGTGGAAATGGATTATCATAAAGGTCTCAACCACATTGTCTTCACATTGAGTAGGCTAAGAGAAGCAGTTGGCCCTGCTGTCTTAGGGATGACAGAAGCTGAAGAAAATCTACTATAGTGGAGTGGTGTAGTTGAAACCCATGTTATTTAAAGATCAACTGTAATTCAACTGTAATGTATTCAGATGAAAAGCTACTTATTTATCTTCCCCCTCTAACTTTAAGTATTTATTTAGATGGCTTTACAGGTAAAACTTAAAGTGATGGAGTTTAAGCAACAAATAGTTTAGTGTACTTTGTTAGACTAAGATTTTTTTAAAGATACTGCTTTTAAAATTATTTCCTTCTTTGGTCCAAACAAAATATTAGAGAATAGTGAAGTACTTTAGTCATTTATTTGTCTCTTAATAAGTAGATAATATTTCAGTTATAATATTTATGTTAGAAATATTTTTAATCCTGCTCATTGGAATAATTTGTCCTTGATATAACTTTATATACTTTTTGAGTAGCTAAACCATTAAACAGATACCTAAATATACATGGTTATTCAGTGAAAATCATCCTCAGTCCACTCAGTACAACTATTACTCAAAATAAAATCACGTTCTTAGTTTCTTGTCAATCTTTCCAATGGTTTTAGGCATACAGAAGCAAATGTTTTTACAAATATTTTGCTTAAGTTGCAAAACTAATATCATACTATATATATATATCAGCACCATTCTTTATTCACATTAAATATATATTGATGATTCTTCTATAAAAAGGGCTAGCTCCTTTTTTTGCTAAATGTCATTCCATTGTACAGGTGTGCTCTAATTTATTTAGGCAGTCTTGATCTGACACTTAAGTTATGTACAACATTTCACTATGAACGGCTCTGTGACAATTCATAATAACTTTAATATACAGTTGACTCTTGAACAACACAAGTTTGAACTGAACAGGCCCATTTATATGTGATTTTTAAAAATTAAAGTTACAGCAAGTGTGACTGCCTTTCCTACCTTCCCTCCACTTCATCTACCTCTTCTGCCTCTGCCACTCTTGAGACAGCAAGATCAACCCCTTTTCTTCTTCCTCCTCCTAAGCCTACTCAGCATGAAGATGAGAAAGATGAAGATCACTATGATGATCCACTTCCACTTTATGAATAGTAAATATATTTTGTATATTTTCTCCTCCCAGGTTCACGCCATTCTCCTGCCTTGGCCTCCCGAGTAGCTGGGACTACAGGCACCCGCCACCACACCCGGCTAATTTTTTTGTATTTTTATTAGAGATGGGGTTTCACCATGTTAGCCAGGATGGTCTCAATCTTCTGACCTAGAGATCCGCCTGCCTCGGCCTCCCAAAGTGCTGAGATTAAAGGCGTGAGTCACCGTGCCCGGCCTGATTTTCTTAATAACATTCTGTTATTTAGCTTAATTTTTTGTTAAGAATACAGTGTATAATACAAATTACATACAAAATATATTTTAATTTACTTTTTATGTTGTTAGTAAGGCTTCTGGTCAGTAGTAGGCTATTAGTGATTGAGTGGTTGTGCTTAAGTAAACTTTATTTTACTTAACAGTAATCCCAAAGCTCAAGATTAATAATACTGGCATACTATCTTAATTTTTTATTGTATTATTAGTTATTGTTATCTCTGCTGTTCCTAATTTATAAATTAAGCTGTATGATAGATATGTATATATAGGAAAAAACTTAGTATACATAGGATATGTTACTACCTGCAATTCCATGCACCCCCAGGGGGTTCTTGGAACAGATCCACTGAGGATAAGGGGGAACTATTATATTAATTAATGGCGCCATTCTTCTTTGCATACCTTAGATTCCAAATGCATATATTCTTTCCACTAGAGCCACAGAGCCATCAAAGGTCTTCTGTTCAACCTATCTGCTGCATCCTAGATGATGAAACACAATTCTCAGAAAGTACTGGCTCCAAACTGACATTTTAGCTGTGCGGGCCTTTTCAACTCTCTCTCCAGCTGACAGCTTCTGGATGGGTAAGTACGTCATCTCATGGTCATGGGCCCACTTGCTCTTCTCCTTTGCTATAAACTAGGTCTTGGTCTAATGTAATAATAATGTGTTTTCACGCCAGTGGAACCACGACTCTGCAAGTCCACAGATAGTAATGTTTGCTGTTGCCCTACAGGTAAGAATGGTACCCCCATACTAAGAATGTATATATGGGAGGTAAACATTGAGCACACATGGATATAAACATAGAAATAATAGACACTGTAGACTACTAGGGAAAGGGGAAAGGGTGGAAGGAGGGGGACGTGGGTGAAAAACTACCCCTTGGGTGCTATGCTCATTACGTGGGTCTAATATACCATGTAACATTTCTACACATATACCCCCGTATTTAAAATAAAAGCTGAATTTTTTTAAAGAAAAATTGCTGTAAATAACGGAGAGAAAATGACAGGGCTAATATTTTGGGAATCTTATAAAAGAATCATATTAAAATTATATAAGAATAAAGATAGGAGTTATTATCTTAGTCTGTTTTGTGCTTCTACAAAAAAAATACCTGAAATTGGGTAATTGATAAATAACAGAATGTTTTTTTCTCACAGTTCTGGGGACTGAGAAGTTTAAGATCAAGGCAGCCGCAAGTTTGGTGTCTGATAAGGACCCCACCTCTGCTTCTAAGATGCAACCTCCAGAGGGAGGGAACACTGTTCCCCACATGGCAGAACAGAGGAGCTGAAATTCATTTCTGAATGCCCTTTTCAACAGTTGTTTAACCCACCCATGTGGGCAGATCCCTCCTGGCCTAATCACCTCATAAAGGCCTCACTTCCCAATATCATTACACTGATGATTAAATATCAACGTTAAGTTTTGATATAAATATTCAAACCATGGCAGTTGTCTATTTGAATTTTACCTTCAAAAACTCTGTTCACTTACATTATCATGTGGAACACCATACTTCTTTGAGTTTGCTTCTTTCTTTCTCTCTCTCTCCCTCTCTGGATATGCCTTCTCAGTTCCTCTTCATTCAATTTATTCTGCCTGTTCTTTACAATATGTCTATTATTTAGAGATCAGTGACAGTTCAAATTGCTTCTTATTTGTAATGACTTTTATCTCATTTTCATGCCTTTAATTATTATTGATGGACTGATAATTCCCAGGTCTCTTCTGCCAGCTCAGATATCACTAATCATAGCTGGATTTATATATACACTGCTTTTGAGACATCATTCAAATCATGCTTCTCAAAAGATGACCCAAGTTCTTTGATTCTTAGTTGTTGGGGTGTGTGTGTGTGTATGTGTATGTGTGTGTGTGTGTGCACATATTTCTATACACGGCACTACTACAATTCACCCACACCCCAAGTCAGACACAAGTTCATTGACATTGTCACAGGCCACAGACAATGATGTCACAGAAACTCTTAGTGAAATTGTATACTTTTGAGGGTGCGATCCCAGAATCTGAAGCCAGAATCATGCTTTTTTAAAGTAACTGCATGATCTTGGGCAATTAATGCAATAATTCTGTGCCTTAATTCCCACATCTGCCAAATTGAAATTAAAGTAGAACTCAACACAAAGGTTTTTGTGTGGGTTAAATACATTGAGATATACACAGCACCTAACTATATAAACACTCTATGTGGCAGCTACTGCTGTGTTAAGAGTATCATGATTGATAACATCTACTAAATCTCTCCCTCTTGCCTCACTGTTATTTTGCTAATTCAGAATTCTATGATTTTGAAAGTATCACTGAAAAAGCTAACTTCTCTCTGAAAAAGCTAACTTCTCTCCTCAGTGTTGTTGGTTCATAATCCTTTCTATGTATTACAGTGATTTTACTAAAATGGGAATAGGATCAAGTTGCTTCTTTAAATAAAATTCTTTAATAAGGTTATACAATATTTTCCTATATGTTCATTCTTGTTCCTCCTGGCTATCCATCCGCCTTATTAGGAATTTTCTGGTTGTTTTATCTTTCTACATAAAATTTGGGCTTGACTTCACAGTGATTGCAGAAAACATTTCTATTTTACTGTTCTTTTAAATTTATATATTAATATTGACAGAATTGTCATCATTATGGTGTTGTGTTTTTATTACAAGACATTACATGCTTACTATTTGTTAACAACTTACTTTAAATCTTCCAATAGTATATAATTTTTCCCTTTAAAAATCGTACACATTGTGAGGTCTGTTTCAAGTTTTTTGCTTTGCAAAATAGGGTGTTTTCTAATTATATAATGTATACATTACAAACGATTTATTTTTGTTTTTTATTCACCTATCATAATAATTTATCATCATGTTTTAAGTCATTTTTTTCAGTCTTGGCTCCTGTATACTGAAAGTGTTGAATCATATCATCTGTAAATGAGGACAATTTTGCATCTTTATTTCTCATGCCTCGTCAAATCTTAATAGCTAACACAAGGATATTTACTTCTAGCTATAGTACATGAACTTGAATATGACCATCCCTCTTGCTAGACTAATTAGTAAGGCTGGGTAAAATATGAAAGATAATGTGTTAGAGGGCACCTGAGAGCTACCAAGCAGCAGAGACTTGAGGATGCAAGACTCCAGAAAGAAGGGAAGCACACGAACATAAATTAGATGTTCTGTTCAGATTTTTGCTATGATGCATTTGCCAATTGAAAGGGGCGGAAGAAGGCATCTAAAAATCTTGAAAGTCGAACTATCTATTCAACATTTTGGACCTGCAGTGCTAAAAAATGAACTCACATTAGATTGAAGGAAAGCATAGGGAGATGTGAATGATATGAGCTGCTGAACAAGCTGTGTCTTCAACACAATCTCCTATTAGGGCAACATTCAAATAAAATAAATATATTGAGATTATACAGAATTATGCTGCTGACTGGCCATGAATTCCAGAGGACACAAAAAAAGATTTGCGGAGTCAGAGGAATTGGAAGATAAGTCTATCTGGATAGCCATATCAGGACAGACATGGCTGAGAACAAAGCATTGTCTGTAATAGAACATACAAATTCTTCCTTAGAATGTAGTAAAGGGACTCCTTTATTCATATGCAGTTCCTGCCACAACTCTGAATGCATAGATTCTTTTGACTTGACATAAATGCCACAGATTTGTTTTTATTTTAATGAAGCCCAATGACAGGAGATCCACCAATAAACTGGAGGTAGCAAGTAGCTATTGAAAGTTAAGAAGTTTATGAAATTATTAGAAAATGCCTTATTGAAACTTTCTGTTACCCATCTCCTAGCATTCAATATCTACCCTCATCAAATTCTATTAGTAAATTTAATAATCACTTTTTGCACAATCAAATTTTTATTATGCTGGTTGTTAAGTGGGACATACACCATGGTTCCAAATTTTCTATACTTTAAAATTCATTTTCTTCATTTATACTTCATACCATTCTACTAATTTTCGTAATTGGTTGAATTCATTGCTTCAATTTCTGATTAATTTCTCATATTATATAATCCTTGAGAGAAAATATGTCCTTCAAACTCAAATTGTTTGTTTCCAGTGCCATATAGTTAAACATTTCTTTTATTCAGCATGTATTTCAACCTTCCTTGTCTCTCCATAAATCACTATCCTTTCTTCCCTTCACAATTGGTAAATATTTTATTCGCAAAGAGGATGGTCTAATTAATTTACCAAATATAATAGTTTTGTATAGGAAAATACATTGAAATTCTAAATATCTATTCAAAATGACATATAACAAAACCAATTTTTTTCTTATCAATGGCATAACCAAACAATTTTGAAGAAAATGATGTTACTCAAAGACTTTCCGTATGTAATGTTGCTTAAAGTCACAGTTGCCAAGCATTTATCAACAACATCAAGCAAGGACTTCCTGTACTTAATATACAAATAGTTTTTTAAAAAAAACAAAATGTCTCTTTCCTCTGCTGAATGCTGATTGCAGGCATTACATCTCCAGTTGCTTGATGAATGCATATTCTTTTAAAAAACAAGCTATCATAACCTATTTTGAGTATAGCAATATTAACAATATATTTTTATCTCCTTTGTGATAGATCAGTGAAGCAAATTTTGAAATGAAGTTAATAATTTTGAATTTAAATCTACAATTTAACTTTTTAAAAATGCTGAAATTTTATGTAACACTTTTCAAAGGTCTTTAGCATAACAAGTTGGTGAGATGAAATGGTGAAATGTGCCAATTAGCTTCCTATCATAGTTCACTTATATATCACTTGCATTTTAGTAAGTATCGTTACAGATTTCTGAAAAGACCATTATCCTTAACAAACTAACACAAGAACAGAAAAGCAAATACCACATGTTCTCATTCTCATTTATAAGTGGGTGCTAAATGATGAGAATGTATAGACACACAGAGACCTAGGAGGGTGGGAGGAGAGAGAGGATCAGGAAAAAATAACTAATGGGTATCAGGCTTAATACCTGGGTGATGAAATAATCTGTACAATGAACCTCCATGACACAAGCTTGCCTATGTAACAAATCTGCACTTGTATCCCTGAACTTAAAATAAAATAAAATATACAACTAGCAGAGACCAGGCATGGTGACCCAGGCCTATAATCCCAGCAATTTTGGAAGACGAACCAGGAGGATCACTTGAGACCAGGAGTTGGAGACCAGGAGTTAGAGACCAGCCTGGGGAACATGGTGTGACCCTGTGTCTACTAACAAAAGAAAAAAAAAAAAAAACAGCCAGGAATGGTGGTGGTGCAGAACTGTAGTTCCAGCTACTTGGGAGTCTGGGGTGGGAGGATCCCTTGAGCCTGGGAAGTCTAGGCTGTGGTGAGCCAAGATCATGCCACTGCACTCCAGCAGGGGTGACAGAGTGAGACCCTGTCTTAGAAAAAAAAGAAAAAGAAAGTGATAATCTAATTTCCCTGCTGGAATCTCCTCTTCACCTGCCCTCTCTGGAACCTCACTTGTCAGTTGTTCCTCCAACTTCCCTGTATCTTTAACCTGTCCCCCACCAATCCTTTTGGTCACTGTGGTGGCCAAAGTAATGCCCCCTACCAATTGCTCACGTCCTAGGTTACACAGCACAGTTTCAGAGGAAGGGGGATATTAAGAGTGCAGATGGAATTAATGTTACTAATCAGCTGTCCTTGAAACAAGATTATCCTGTAGTATCTGGGTGAGCCCATGTAATTACAAGGGTTCTTTAAATATGGAAGAGGGAGGCAGGAAGTTAAGAACCAGACAGAGTGAGCACAGTGGCTCATGCTTGTAATATCAATACTTTGGAAGCCCTAGGCAGGAAAATCCCTTGAGTGCAGGAGTTCAAGGCCAGCCCTGGCAACACAGCCGGGCCCCACCTCTACCGAAAAATTGAAAATTCACTGAGTGTCATGGCGCTCACCTGTAGTCACAGCTACTCGAAAGGCCGTGGTAGGATTGCTAGCCTGGGGGGTTGAGGCTACAATGAGCTGTGATTGCACCACTGAACTCCATCCAGGGTGAGAGAGCAAGATCCTGTTTCTGAAGAAAAAAAAAAAGGACATTGGAATCAGGGCTTCCTCCATCCTAAGGTGCCTACAAGGCATCTCTCTCTGAAAATGAGTAAACATCCTCTAATTCTCCGCAGAGTGGAGCAGCAGGAAAACACACTCACCTCATTTCTGTGCTGCTTGAGAGGCCTGGACAGCCCAATAACCAGCTCATTCCTGATGAAGAAATCAGGAAATGGCTCGAGTTGAGCTACGGAGAATTTGGTTCCTTCTTTTGGTTCTCAATAGGCAGGGTGGGGGCCAGGCATAGTGGCTCATACTTGTAATTCTTGCACTTTAGGAGGCCTAGGGGAGAGGATCACGTGAGGCCAAGAGTTCAAGACCAGCCTGGGAAACATAGCAAGACCCGGGTGGCATGCACCTGTGGTCCCCACTACTTGGTAGGATGAGGTGAGAGGACTGATCACTTGATCAACCCAGGAGTTTCAGGCTGCAGTGATCCATGATCACACCACTGAACTCTGGCCTGTGTGACAGAGCCAGACCATGCCTCAAAAAGTTAGAGAGAGAGAGAGAGAGAGAGAGAGAGAGAGAGAGAGAGAGAAACTATAGGCAGGCACCAGCACATTCAGCTAATTTTTAAATATTCTGTAGAGATGAGGTTTTGCTAGGTTGCCTAGGCTGGTCTAAAACTCCTGGCATCAACAGATCCTCCCACCTCAGCTTCCAATGCCCTGGGATTATATTTTTTGTTTACTATCATTGAAGACACTTGTTCTTATACTGCTTTAAGGTATAAAAGGAAAAAAAACACAGATAATAACAAATGTTGGTGAAGGCCAGGCACGGGGCCTCAGCTTGTAATTCCAGAACTTTGGGAGGCTAAGGTGGCCAGATCATTGAGGCCAGGAGTATGAGACCAGACTGGGCAACATGGTCAAACCCCATCACTACAAAAAAAATATATAAAAATTAGCCAGTCATGGTGCTGTGTACCTGTAATTCCCAGCTACTCGGGAGGCTGAGATGAGAGGATCACTTGTGCCTGGGAGTTCAAGGCTGCAGTGAACTGTAATGACATCACTGCCCTCCAGCCTGAGAGACACAGCAGGCCCCTGTCTAGAAAAAAAAAATAACGTCAGTGAAGATGCAGAGGAATTGGACCCACACACATTACTGGTGGGAACATAAAGTGCCATAACTACTTTAGGAATTTCTTTTCTTATCATTTTAATTGGATTTTTTTTGGAATCAAGACAGGGTCTCGCTATCTTGCCTAGGCTAGTCTTGAACTTGTGGGCTCAAGTCATCCTCCCAACTGAGCCTCCTAAGTAGCTGGGATTACAGGTGTGAACCATCACACCCAACTGATCTAACCACTTTAGAAAATGTCTGGCAGTTTCTCAAGAGCCTAAATGTGCAGTCATCACATAATGCAACAATTTAACTCCTAGGCATATATCCCAGAGGAAAAAAAATATATATGTCCATACAAAAACTTGTATAGGAACCTTCATAGCAGCATTATTCATAATGGCCAATACATGAAAACAACCCAAATGTGCACCAACTGATGAATGGATAAACAAAACGCAGTGTGTTTCTACCATGGAATATTATTCAGCCACAGAAGGAATGAAATACTGATACACGCTACAACATAAAGGAACTTTGAAGACATTGTACTAAGAAGGAAAGCAAGCCAGCCACAAAAGAACACATATTGTACAATTCTATTTGTCCAGATTAGGCAAATCTACAGTGACAGAAAAATCAATCAATGGTTGTCTGAGGCTGGGGGCAAAGGCAGGTGGGGGGAGTAGGAGGCAGTGGCTAAGGGGTGCGGATTTCTCTACAGGGTAAGGAAAGGTTCTAAGAGTGACTGTGGTGATCAGTGCACAGCTCTGTGAATATTCTAAAACCCACTGAACTGCAGATTTCAGCAAATAAATTGAATGATATGTGAATTACATTTTAATAAAGCTGTTATTTAAAATAATAATAATAAGGAGCTGGGCACAGGTAGTCATACCTGCCTGTAATCTCAGCACCATGGGAGGGTGAGGCAGGAGGATCACTTGAGGTCAGGAGTTTGAGACCAGCCTGAGCAACCTAGCAAAATCGTGCCTCTACAATAAAAAACAAAAAAAAAATTTAGCTGGGCATGGTGGCACACGTCTGTATTCCCAGCTGTTTGGGAGACTGAGGTAGGAGGATTGCTTGAGACTAGGAGTTTGAGGCTGCAATAAGCCATGATCATGTCACTATACTGCAGCCTGGGCGACAGAGCAAGACTCTGTCTATAAAAGGGAAAGAAAAGGGCTGGGCGTGGTGGCTCATGCTTGTAATCTCAGCATTTTGGGAAGCCGAGGCAGGCGAATCATCTGAGGTCAGGAGTTCGAGAACAGCCTGGCCAACATGGTGAAACCCTTTCTCTACTAAAAATTACAAAAATTACCCGGGCATGGTGGTGGATTCTTGTAAATCTACTTGTAAATCCAGACTAGCCTGGCCAACATGGTAAAAACCCGTCTCTACCAAAAACACAAAGAAGTAGCCTGGAGTGGTGGCGTGTGCTTATAATCCCAGCTACTCAGGAGGCTGATGCAGGTGAATCGCATGAACCTGGCAGGTGGAGGTTGCAGTGAGCCGAGATTGTGCCATTGTACTCCAGCCTGGGTGACAAAGTGAGACTCTGTCTCAAAAAAAAAAATTGATCAGATAAAAAAATTATGAAATGATGGAACAAATAAGATGTTAAAATTTGTTCCAAGGAGAATTCCAAAACCCACACATATCTGAGACCATCAAGTATGATGAAATATATTTGATTACTATATTTAAAAATAAACCGATTGTACAGTCAACAACAATTGGGCAGGGGTCTCCTCATCCACAGCCACACAAACCCGATCATGTGGCTATGCAGTTGAAAGGCCTGCATAGCCTAGATGGGACTGGTCCAACTTGAGATTTCATTTTATTTGGATTTGTATTTTGAGACGGGGTTCCACTCTGTCACCCAGGCTGGAGTACAGTGGTGTAATCATAGCTCACTGCAGCCTTGACCAACTGGCCTCAAGAGATCCTTCTGCCTCAGCCTCCCTAATACCTGGGAATGCAGGCAGGTTCCACCATGCCAGGCTTTTTTTTTTTTTTTAATTTTTGTGGAGAAAGAAGTCTTGCTATGTTGCCCAAGCTGACTGCAAACTCCTAGCCTCAAGAGATCTGCCCACCTCAGCCTCCAGAGTAACTGGAACCACAGGAATACACAACCATGCCTGGCTATATTTATTTTCCTAAATTTCTTTCTTCTACTTTTGTAGAGAGGAGGTCTTGCTATTATTGCCCAGGCTGCTCTCTAACTCTTGGCCTTAAAAGATACTCCCATCTCTGCCTCTCAAACTGTTAGAACTACAGGTGTGAGCCACTGCACCGGCCTGACCTGAGATTTCTTTAATCTAGCATCCTTTACTTAGTAGGATTGGGAAAGGCAGCAGTGGGTTTTTTTAATTACTTAATAATTCAATTTGAATCAAACTCAGCCTTGACCCCTGCCTTCTCTCACACCCCATGTCCAGTCTGTCAGGATCCTGTTGACAGTCTTCAACATGTCTCCAGGCTCTGACCATCTCTCACCGCCACCATGACCCTGGTCAGGACCACTATCATCTCCCACCTGGATGTGGTAACAGCTCGGCCTCCCTGCTTCTACCAAAATCTTCCTATAGTCTTTCCCAACTCAGCAGCCAGGGGTGCTTTTAAATAGGGAGACAGATGATGTCACTTGGCTGCTCAGAACCTTCCCGTAGTTCCCATCTCAGTCAGAGTAAAAGTCAAAGCCCCAGCAATAACCTCCCAGGGCTTACACAATCTGTACTGATCTCAGCCCAGCTACTCCCTGGCCTCCTCCCTTGCTTCTCTTCCTCCCTCTCTCTGCTGCACCAGACTCCATCCTGAGCCTTAGACACACCAAGGAGTTCCCTCCTAACATCTTCTCTCTGTTGCTTCTGCCTGCAATGCTCTTCCCTAAGCACCTTGGACAGCTCCTTTCCCTCCTTGAAGCCTTTGCTCAATTTTCACTTATGAGGACAACCCTGAACACTCTATTTAATATTGCCATCTGTCCCCACTCCCACCATGCTCACTCATTTGTTCTTTTTTTTTTTTTTGAGACAAGACCTCCCTCTGTCACCCAGGCTAGAGTGCAGTGGCACAATCACAGCTCACTGCAACTTTGAACTCATATGCTCAAGCAATCCTCCTGCTTCAGTCTCCTTACTAGCTAAAGCTACAGGTGTGTGCTACCAAGACTGGTTTTTTTGTAGACAGGGTCTCACTATGTTGTGCAGACTGGTTTTGAACTCCTGGGCTCAACTCATCCTCCCACTTCAGCCTCCTAAAATGCTGGGATCACAGGCATGAGTCACTGTGCCTGGCTTTGTGTTCATTTCTTCTTGCTTCTTTTACACACTACCCTACATTGAGTGGTTTAAAACACCACAAGTCTACTATCTGACAGTTCTGAAGCTCAGAAATCCAAAATAGGCATATCAAGGCTAAAGTCAAGGGGTCAGTAGGGCTGCATTCTCCTGGAGGGCCTAGAGAGAATGTGTTCCCTTGCCTTTTCCAGCTTCATGAAGCCACCCACATTCCTTGGCTCATGGCTCCTAACTCCGTCTTCAAAGCAAGAAGTGGAGCATCTTCAAATATGCCTCTCTCACCTCTGCTTCCATCATCACATCTCGTCCAATTCTGACTCTTCTACCTCCCTCTTGCTATTATAAAGACCCTTGTGATTGCTTGGCATGGTAGCTCACACCTGTAATCCCAACACCCTGGGATGCCAAGGTGGGAGGATTGCTTGAGGCCTGGGGTTCAAGACCAGCGGCAACATAGTGAGACTCCACCTCTACAGACATAGTAGTAATAATGAATATTAGCCAGTCGTTGTGATGCACACCAGTAGTCCAAGCTACATGAGAGGCTGAGATAAGAGAATTGCTTTAGCCCAGGAGTTTGAGACCGGTCTAGGCAACATAAAAAGATGGCATTTTTATAAAAAATAAAAAAAATTATCTGGGCGTAGGTGGCATGCACCTGTAGTCCTGGCTACTCAGGAGGCTAAGGCGGGAGGATTGCTTGAGCCCAGGTTGAGGCTGCAGTGAGCTATGATCACATCACTGCACTCCAGCCTGGGTCACAGAGTGAGACACTGTCTCAAAAATAGAAAACAAAAGAAGAGAAAGACACATTTGGTCTCCGCCCCTGGTCCTGGCACAGAGCTTCTAAAGCTCTTATAAAGTCCTCAGTGATAGAGGTGATAGGAGCATCTTTTGTTTCAATATTTGGTCTTAGTCCTAGGTTTCTAGCACAAGATCCTCTTGTGGATCACCCTACCCCCTACTTCCTACCCCATCCCCTACAAAACAACCCAATTCTTCTCCTTAATGGAGCTATATTACAAAAAGTTGTACTCATTTATATTTTGAATTTCATTCATTAAAATTTTGTGGAAATTTGTTTTCTCTCTTGTTATACCTACATGCCATTCTTGGTTTTGTCTCTTAGCCTTTGAAGCCTAAAATATTTAGCAACTGGCCCTTTAATGTGTTGACCTTTGGACTAAAGGAACTGGGAGGACTTTGGACTGGAAGAAAGAACACAATATGACAACCGCTCTCAAATATTTGCCGGACTCAACAGGGAGCTGGATCCATCCATCACCAGGGAATCTTTACTATGGAACACTCTCCTACCTATGAAGAAAGAGGTAGCTCTGTCTCTACAAAAACAAACAAACAAAATTAAGCCATGCAGGGTAGTGTGCGCCTGTAAGTCCAGTGACTCAGGAGGCTGAGATGGGAGGACTGTTTGAGCTCAGGAGCTTGAGATTACAGTAAGCTATGATTGTGCCACTGCACTTCCAACCTGAACAGCACAGCAAGAGTCTGTCTCTAAAAAGAAAGAGAACAGACACTCTGCAGAATGGGATAAAATATTTACAAATCATATAGCTGACCAGAGTTTATCGTTTAAACTTTTAAATAGGCAAAAGACTTGAATAGTAGGCCAGGCATGGTGGCTCACACCTGTAATTCCAGCACTTTGGGAGGCCGAGGCAGGCGGATCACAAAGTCAAGAGATCGAGGCCATCTTGGCCAACATGGGGAAACCCTGTCTCTATGAAAAATACAAAAATTAGCTGGGCATGGTGGCACGCACCTGTAGTCCCAGCTCCTCAGGAGGCTGAGGCATGAGAATCACTTGAACCCAGGAGGCGGAGGCTGCAGTGAGCAGAGATCACACCACTGCACTCCAGCCAGGTGGCAGAGCAAGACTCTGTCAAAAAAAAAAAAAAGACTTGAATAGTAATTCCACCAAAGATATAGAAATGGCCAATAAGCACATAAGATATTCAAAATCACTAGTTATTAGGGAAAGAAAATCAGTCCTAAAATGAGATATCACATCACACCTACTAGAATGGCTATAATAATAATGAAAAGATAACAAGCACTGGTGAAGAAGTGAAGAGATTAGAACCCTTGAATATTCTCTCTAGGAATGTAAAATGGTACAGTCACTGTGAAAAAGTCTGTAAGTTCCTCAAAAAGTTAAACACAGAATTGCCGTATGACTAAGCAATTCCACTCCCAGGTGTATAACCAAAAGAATTGAAAAAATGAACTCAGAAACATGCCGAGTGCTGATGTGCAAGTGTTGATGTTGGCTCGGGACAAGAGAAGAAAGGAAAGTCCAAGGACAGTATTTACTGCAGCGTTAATCACAATAACCAAAAGGTGGACAAACCCCAGGTGTCCATCCATAGATGAAGGGATAAACAAAATGTGACATATACATGCAATGGAATATTATTCAACCACGAAAAAGAATGAAGTTCTGATCAATGCTATCAGATATATTGTTACAACCTGGCTGAACCTTGAAAACATTAGGCTAAGTGAAATAAGCCACACATAAAAGGGCAAGTATTGCATAATTCCTTTTATATGAGGTACCCAAATAAGGAAATTCATAGAAACAAAAATTAGATTAAGAAGTTACCAGGGTATCAGGGAGGAGAGAATGGAAAGTTATTGCTTATTTGGTACAGAATTTGTTTGGGATGATGGAAAATTCTGGAAATACATAGTCATGATGGTTGTAATCCTTGTGAATGTAACTAAATGCCACTGAATTTTACACATTTTAAATCAATCCTTTCTAAAAACCAAAGAGAAATGGAATGGTATATATTACCTATCAAATGCTGTGCTGGATACATTATAGCCATTATCTGACTAAGCTTCATGAAAGTCTGTGAGTCATTCAAGGCCAAGTATCTTTCTCAAAGTCTCACAGCTAGGAACGGGCAGTAAATTTTTTCACTAGACAATGAGTACTTTTCTACATAAGGGTCAAGGATCATCTGCCAGGGTTATTTAATACAAAGGAGATTTTCACATTAGAAAGCAGATTATTAATACAACCAATAATAATAGTAACATGCCTTTTGCATACATTATCTCCTTAATCCTCACAAATAGGAAAGAAAGAACCTAAGACATCAGAGAGCCACTTAGGATTAAGAACGCAAGCTGCCCCCAATATGCATCCTCTGTCCTTAAAGACCTGAGCTACGAACATGGAAAAGATTGAAAAACACTGCCTTCAGGTATGAATAAACATACATTAGATCTGAGTAAGAATGCATCACTTAGGGGGAAGGGAAGCAGATGCTTATCTATTTTGTCTTATCTACTGATAACTAAATTCAGAAATTGTAATAAAAGTAATACAAATGTTATATTTTCTCTTAATTTTTAAAGAGCAACGATTATAGTCTGAAAAACTGTCATTCAGCGACTAATGCCATACTGAGGCCAAATCTTTTTGGTTTTCAATATCCAGCTTTATCATGTCACAATAACCTTCAGATTCTTTTCCACTTATATTGTAAAAATGCACATGAACTCAAACCTCTAGGTAAATCTATAAACCTATACCTATGAATCAACCTTTAATTCAATAAAAAATACACTTTCTCTACACACACTTTCTTTCCCTTTTTTATGTGCATTATCTTATTTAATCCTCAAAGCAATCCTCTGAGTTAGGAGATTTTTTTTTTAAGGGATACACGTGCAGAACATGCATGTTTCTTTCACAGGTATACACGTGCCATGGTGGTTTGCTGCACCCATCAACCTGTCATCTACATTAGGTATTTCTCCTAATGTTATCCCTCCCGTAGCCTCCCACCTCACACAGGCCCCAGTGTGTGATGTTTCCCTCCCTGTGTCCATGTGTTCTCATTGTTCAACTCCCACCTATGTGTGAGAACATGCAGCGTTTGGTTTCCTGTTCTTGTGTTAATTTGCTGAGAATGATGGTTTCCAGCTTCATCCTGCAAAGGACATGAGCTCATCCTTTTTATGGCTGCATAGTATTCCATGGTGTATATGTGCCACATTTTCTGGGAGTGTAAATTAGTTATTCCTCTTTTTTTAACCGTAAAATTTGAATTTATGGAGCATTAAGTTCTTGACTGTAAAATCAAAAAGCAAAAAGAGATGTGAGGTCAAAGAAAGGAGAGACAGTGAAAAATGGGCCAGGAGTTAAAAAGTAAAATTTTTCACTAAAGAAGAACAGTTAAGATGGTTGTTCATGTCGTTATTGAAACAAAAGAGGTTTGGTCTAGGTCCTGCTGCTCACTGCACAGAAACCCAATGACAAGTATTGCTAAGGAAGAAGGCTGTAACCCGGTGCTGCAGCCAAGGAGAGGGAAGCTCAGTCTCAAATCCATCTCCTTCACTGACTAAAACTAGGAGTCTATTTGGCAGGAAGAAATGCAACAATGTATAAGAAAACAGGAAATAGGGAGGAGCAAGGAAGCATCTGGGTACTGTGATATGGTGAATTTCAGATCTTTGATACTTTCTGAAGATGTTTTTTTGAGGAGGGAAGGCAGATAAGTATAGTTTCAAGCTTTAACAGCAGGGTTAAATTTCTACGTTTATCGTCTATGGGACGACCGGGCTAGTTTCAAATTAAGCAATGATTCTATAGGTCCTTTTTGTTGTTTTAAAATCTGAAACAATTGAATGTATGGTTATATGCTAGACCTAAAGAAAATCCATTTCATGTTCTAAAAACCAGAGTAGATCAAAGTAAAACCTGTTACAAATAGCCTATGAGTATCAAGTTTGGGAACACTATGAAAAATTCCAAAAAAGGTAATCAATTCATAAAACTTACAGATGGACAAATGAATATTTCAGAATTCTTATCAGTACTAAGTATGAACATGACCTTATCAATATTTTCATTACTAATTATACAATAAGAAACTGA
The DNA here is from genome assembly GCF_000001405.40 of Homo sapiens. Lineage (NCBI taxonomy): Eukaryota > Metazoa > Chordata > Mammalia > Primates > Hominidae > Homo > Homo sapiens. The sequence goes on along the minus strand of NC_000018.10, from coordinate 14,716,437 downwards.
CTTCTGACTATTCTAAGGTATAAATGTGTACTTTACCTTAAATAGGAAAATGTGTTGTATATCCATTTTGAGATTCATTACAAGATTCACAGAAGAGAAAACTGATAGCCCTGTATCGATTAAAAGCATTTTTTTAAGACAGTTTTGCTCTTGTTGCCTGGGCTGGAGTGACATGACAAGATCTTGGCTCACTGTAACCTCCGCCTCCCAGGTTCAAGTGATTCTCCTGCCTCAGTCTCCCGAGTAGCTGGGATTACAGGTGTCTGCCACCATGCTGGGTTTTTGTTTTGTTTTGTTTTGTTTTGTTTTGTTTTTGCATTTTTAGTAGAGACGGGGTTTCACCATGTTGGCCAGGCTGGTCTTAACTCCTGACCTCAGATGATCCACCCACCTCAGCCTCCCAAGAGATGGAATCTCACTATGTTGCCCAGGTTGGCCTAGAACTCCCAGGCTCAAGTGATTCTCCCACCTCAGGTTTGAGAGTGGCTGGGACAACAGGGTGCAAACCCAGATGAGGGTAATTTTTGTAACAAAGGGAGTTAGGAAACTTTCTATGAGAGAAACCTCAAGGCCCAGATGGTTTCACTGGCATATTTTACCAACTTATTAAAAAAAAGAATGTAACTAATTCCTATTGTCACAAGCAGACAATTACTGAAAACTGACTGCTAAAAACATGCAATTCACTTGGACACGGCCTAACATGTGTATACACATATTCACATAATTACGAGCCAGAAGGTTTACTCAAAACACTTTCAGAGTTCTCTAGACCTGATAAAGCTATCCTCTGAGAGAAAATAAACCTGTTAGGCAATTGCAAATTAAAACTACAATGAGGAACCACTGCATATCAACTTAAGAGGGTAAAAATAAGATTGACCATACAAGTATTCACAAGAATGTCAACCAAAACTCTCATACCCTGCTGATGGAGATGTAAAATAATGCAGGTGCCTTGGAAAACAGTTTGGCATTTCCTTCAAAAGTTATAGATCCCAGCTATTCCATTCCCAGATATCTACTCAAGAGAAATGAAGGCCTATGTCCACACAAAAACTTGTACACAAACATTCATAGTAGCTCTACCTGCAGTAGCCCCAACCCCAAACTGGAAGAACCCAAATGGCTATCAACAAACAAAGGAATGAGCAAATTTTGACCCATGTATACAACAGCATATTAATCAACAACAAAATAGAATCTCCTACTGATACATGCAACATTGTGGATGAATTTCAAAACAATCATGTGAAGTAAAGAAGTCACAATAGTCCCTACCCCATGAAAATAGTCCACATTTAATCATATCATATGATATCATATATATGACTTTCTAGAAAATGCAAATTAAGCTAAAATGGAAAATCAGCATGTTGCCTGAATACTGGGCAGGGTCATGAATTACAAGGCGACATGAGAAAACTTTCGGGGGTATGGATATTTCATTATCTCGGTTGCAATGAAGATGGTTTATTAGGTATGTACATGCCAAAACTGGATTTTATACTTCAAATGTTTAATTTATTACAATTACACATAGATAAAAAATTAAGCTGACTATATCTGCATTTGCCTAATAGGTTTATTTTGCAACACTAGAAACTGGGATTGAATTCTAAATTGTGCCACAACTTGTGCTTATACTTTTACAAACATGAATGACTATTTTACATATCCCCTGAATTGTGTGAGTTGACCTTATATCCACATTTTTAAAATGTTTTATCCCAGTGACTTATTTACAAATATAGATGTCCATCAAGAACTAATCAATAAAATACTATTTAAGTTAAAGCAACTGATAAACTTTAATTTTAACCACAAATTTTTTTTATTAAAAAATTGCATTCACCCTTATTACCTTGAATGTGATATAATCATAATCAGGATCTTCTGATTCTTCCTTTACTGTCACAGCTGCCACTTCCAGGGAAATGACTATAAAAGCAAATGAAATTATATGATTGCATGTCAGGGCTTTCAGCTAAACTGTGTAGGGAAATCCTCTCCATGCTCCCTATAAATACAGCAATGAATACCCATTTTAAATAAAGACTTTAAAAGTCTTTGAAAGGACAAAAGTTCACCAGGTAGCAGAGTGTAGGAATCACCTATAGTCCCAACCGAGACAAAGTTTTAACCATTTATTAATATTCTGCAATTATTTGCTGCCAAATTTTTTCTCCAGCAAATTCTTATCTTTAGAATTAAAGAAAATTTAGTCACAATCCATGTTCACTGAATATTAAAACTACTATTATAAACCACTGTTATATACATCAGTTTTAATAACTCAATATTCCAGAGTAGAGATGGTATAATTTTTGGCAATTTCAATAATGAGATACATTGATTTTTTTTTCCTCCTCATAAATCTCTTCTATTGACAAGAGGACAAAGCACACCTTTCTGCATAAAGGTTTGCCCACAATTAGGACAGGTAATTTGAAGCCACCTTTGTGGCCAGATACAGAAGAGTGCATATTGGGTAATTCCTCTCATTTGAAGGTCAAAATAGGCAAATGAAATCTTTGTTATTGAATATGTAGGCTGGGTGTGGTGGCTCATGCCTGCAATTCTAGTACTTTGGGAGGCCAAGGCAAGCAAATCACCTGAGGTCAGGAGTTGAAGACCAGCATGGCCAACATGGTGAAACCCCGTCTCTACAAAAAATACAAAAATGTAGCTGTGTGTGGTGGTGGGCACCTGTAGTTCCAGCTACTCGGGAGGCTGAGGCAGGAGAATGGCGTGAACCCCTAAGGCAGAGCTTGCGGTAAGCCGAGATCGCACCATTGCACTCCAGCCGGGGCGACAGAGCAAGACTGTCTCAAAAAAAAAAACAAAAAAAAACAACAAAAAAACTAAAAACATTAATGTAAGCGTAGTAAACTAAGGAATAAATTTTTGTGACAATTGACAGCAGATGAGAATGACTATAGTTAACAACAATGCATTGTACATTCCAAATTAGTTAGAAGAGAGGACTTGAAATCATAAATACTCAAGGTGATGGACACCCCAACTACTCTGACTTCATCATGACACAGATGATACATATAACAAATATCACAGTTACCCTATAAAAACCTACAAATGTATGAACTAAAAAGGTTAAATCCAAAAAAAGTCTTGTAAGTTGCAGAAAAGTAGACTGTAGCAACTGTACGTATTTTCTTCCTTTCCTGCTATGAATGTGTTTGTATGCAGATTATGTATTTGCATATATTAACTATTCCCTTCTTCTATGCGCAGTATTTTACAGAAGTTTTATTGGAGGTTTCTTTTCCATTTGTCCATTAGACTAGAGATTACTCAAATAGGTTAGGATTGAATTTGAAGAGTAAGTGATACGCCTCATGACTAGATAGTCAGTCTCCCAGAGATGGGTGTGGCTGTTGGAACACTACGTCTCCTCATTTTGAGCAGATGGTAAAAATTGATTTCTTTGTAGGAAGTTGCACTCTGTTGGATGGAACAGTTGTGTTGTTGTACAGAAAGTCAAATGTGCAGGGAAGGGTGTGTATATTTCCTGAGTAGCCAGAGGGCAGCCAGGACTAGCCATTAAAGCTGATGTCTCTTAGTTGCAAACCCATCCTCTGGGTTTCTGGTGAAGCTTGAGCTCTGCACAGCAACTGGCTTTGCGTGAGTCTCTACCACAAGAACACACTATGTGGAGACAATAGGCTAGAGAAGGGGAAGGGATCTGTGCCTTCTTTTTGTCTCCTTGTCTGCACCCTAATCCCATCAAGGTCACTCCTTGGTACCTTCATTCAGCCTGGTGAATGAAGGCCCTCCAATAACAAGACACGTGTCTGGTTGACAATGTCTCTGACACTACCGACAGCTTCACTATGCCCCAAAGCCGCCAGTGCCAAGCACACAGTATCCCACCTCCAAAGTCAAAATGAGAGTGGGTGCAGTGGCAGCCATGACCTAGATTTGTTCCTTAGACACCTTAGTGTTCTAATTTTTGGAGGAAGGCCAAGGCAGGTGGATCATTTGAGGTCAGAAGTACAAGACCAGCCTGGCCAACATGGTGAAACCCAGTCGCTACTAAAAATACAAAACTTATCTGGGCATGGTGGCACTCACCTGTAATCCCAGCTACTCAGGAGGCTGAGGCAGGAGAATCACTTGAACCTGGGAGACGAAGGTTGCAGTGAGCTGAGATCAAACCACTGCACTCTAGCCTGGGCAACAAAGTGAGACTTCATTTCAAAACAAAACAAAAAATAATAATACTTCTATGGTTTCTTGCAGCTCTCCCAAAATACATTTACATACATAAAAGCTCATTCACATACATGCACACACACACATTATCACAGCTCTTCCCCTCTCCCCAACAATTCATTCCAGATGCCATTAGATGGTGCTAAGTGTGGCAGGTGATTGCCCCGGGAAACACAGCAAGATGAGAAGGTTTAGGAGGAGCAGGAGAAGTTGCCTAGGGCCTGGGCAGACAGAGGCAGATGAGGGGCAGGCAAGGTGGTAACAGCCCACCAAAGAGTGTCCCATGTGAGTAAAGGACATGGGCTCAGCAGCAGGAGGCTCAATGGTGGCACTAGTACACAAGATAAATACTGGGTAAATGATGAAATAAATCAATAGGCCGAGAATATCTGGGTGGCATGGTTCTATGAAAGCATTGTAAATAGGAAAAGAAACAAACAAACCAACCCAAGCTCTGGATGTTAAGAACAGAACTGAAGATACAGGTATGAGCTTTTGGCCTTCAACATGTGTAAGTACACAGACAAATACAGATGTAAATGTGTGCATGCACACGATGATTTTCCTTATTGTGCTGACTGTACTGTGGTTACACAGGCCAATGTCCTTGTTTGTAAAAATTACACATGGAAGTAGCTGAGAGATAGGGCATTGTGCTGGCAACTTACTGTCAAATAGTACAGGAAAAAGTTTATTGCACCATCTACATGGATGCTTTCTGGGGTCTTTCTGTTAGCTTGAAATTGCTTCAAATTGTAAATGATTTTACAACAAAAATTTTAAAGAATTACAGTATTATTTATCTCTTCTACATCAAGCTTTTCTCTTGTAGTCTATCTTACAGGTACTTCCACATGAATATAAACAGATCTATCACTTTGTGTTTACTGGCAACATGGATGGAATTTCCAGAATGGAACAGTAGGTTAATTATCTTTTTTATAAGGCAGCAATGGGTTAAAGAATACATGCATCTTAAAATAATAAATATTGTCAACGTACCATGCACAAGATAGCTACAGTTTATATGCACATAAACAATGTCTTAACCTGCCTGTTTTTCCAAACCCTTTGCTGAGACTGAGCATAAGCAAAATTTACTGTCTGCCAACCTGCTAGGTGTCAAACATTTTCATTCTTAGATTGTTATCCCCACTTCTTTAACGAGATTGAGAATTTCTTGAGTCTCTGCTCATTTATTTTGTGGCTTGCTTCTTTTAAAACAACATATAGATGGAGTCTTCCTTTGTTGCCTAGGCTGGGTTCAAACTCCTGAGTGAAAGCAATCCTCCCATCTTGGCCCTTCAATGACTGGGATTACTGGTGTAAGCCACCATGCCCAGCCTGGATTCGTTCTTCGTAAATCAAACCCTTTGTCATTTTCTTGCAAATAGCCTACCCTTTCTCTTACACGTCCTTTGACACATTTTAGATGGTTTTGCCATACAAAACTTTTCGATTTTTAGTTAAAGGTAGGCTCAGGAAACATTTCAAGAAACTGAAGTGTTTCTTTTTTCACCTGCTTTTAATCTAAAGTCTTATTATATCTGGATTTTAACATTTATTAAAAGTAATGTCAGATTATAAATGTTTGGATTTTATTCATTTTCTAAATGATTCTGACTGGTTTCCTACATATACAATCATATGACCTGCAAAACAAGATGTGCCCTTTACTTTCTAATTATTTGCAACTAATCTGTACTGGTTTATACATCTAGGAAACTGATGAGCAACTGGTGGGAGTGTGTATCTTTTTCATATGAAGCATGCTTCTAGTGGTTTACTATTAGACAATAATGGGTTGGCCTTTGCAATAATATTCCAACCAATTATATTAAGGATTTCTGCTGCTTTTTCATGAGACACCCAGATGATACATTATTTCTAGTTAGTTCAATAATATGAGAAAATGAATTAAGATTTTTTATAAAATTATCCTGTGTTTCTGGATAAATCCTAAATATGAAATTCACTGTAGAATATAAATTTTTATATTTTAGAGATAGAATCTTGCTCTGTTGCCCAGGCTGGAGTGCCATGGTATAATCCTAGCTCACTTCAGCCTCCAATTCCTGGACCCAAGCGACCCTCTTGCCTCAGCCTCCTAAGTAGCTGAGACTACAGACATGCACCACCACACCTGTCTAATTTTTGTATTTTGATAGAGGTGGGGTTTTGCCGTGTTGCCCAGGCTGGTCTCTAACTCCTTGTCTCCAGCAATCCACATGCCACAGCCTGCCAAAGTGCTGAGACTATAGGCATGAGTCATCACACTGAGCCATAAGATATTTTTTGAACTCATGTGAAAGCATAGTTAAAAGCCCCACAATGGCAGGATCTGCAACAGTGAGAATTCAGATATAATGCAACTGACAACTGGCTCCCACCCTCTGCAAGAGGTTAAGCCCAGAGACATTGACTATTTTTCAACAATGTAAAATTGTGTTTCATATGATTAAAATTTTTGGACCCCACATATAACCTAAAGACAGGTTATATAGCTTAAAGGAACATATAAGCTATAAATCCCTTAATATACAAACTAGTACCAGGCACGGTGATGCATGCTTGTAATCCTAGCACTTTGGGAGGCCAAGTTGAGTGAACTACTTGAGCCCAAGAGTTGATTTTTGAAAAAGGTTTTATGGCAAGTAAGCAGAGAAGGAATGGTCTTTTCAACAGATGCTGCTGGTACATCACATGCAAAATGGTGACTTTAAACTCTTACCTCACAATATGTGCAAAAAATAACTCACAATGGATCTTACCCCTAAACATAAGAGCTAAAACTATAAATTTCAGGAAGAAGATCTAAGTCTAAACCTTTGTGACCTTAGGTTGGACAAAGATTCTTTAGATACAACACCAAGAGCATAGTAATAAAAGGAAAACTTGAAAAACTGAATTTCACCAAAACAAAAGCTTTTGAGCAATAAGGGACACCACCAAGAAAATGAAACAACTAGCCAGACAGAAGCAGTATGTGCAGAATCTTACTTCTGATAAAAGACTTGTATCCAGAGCATATCGAGAACTCCTGTAACTCGTAAAAGAAGAAAAACACAATTTTTAAATGGGCAGACACTTACATAGACATGTCACCAAAAAAAAAAAAAGTAAAACAAAATAAAATCTTCATGCCTTTGGGTTAGGCAATGGTTTCTTAAATATGAAGTCAAGGCTGGATGCAGTGGCTTATGCCTGTAATTCCACCACTTTGGGAGGCTGAGGCAGGTGGATCACGATGTCAGGAGATAGAGACCATCCTAGCTAATACAGTGAAACCCTGTCTCTACTAGAAATACAAAAACTTAGCCGGGTGTGGTGGCGGGCGCCTGTAGTCCCAGCTACTCAGGAGGCTGAGGCAGGAGAATCGCTTGAACCCAGGAGGTGGAGGTTGCGGTGAGCCGAGATCATGCCACTGCACTCCAGCCTGGGTGACAGAGCGAAACTGTCTCAAAAAAAAAAAAAAAAAAAAAATGAAGTCAAAGGCACAAGTGCCAAGAGAATAATCTGGTTTCTATCAAAATTAAAAACTTTTCTGCCTCAAAACGATACTACCAAGCAAGGGAGAAGACAACTTATATATTAAGAATAATGTAGAATTATTAGAATTGGAGAAAATATTTCCAAATCCTACACTACAGCCTGCATGAAAGTGTGACATCCTGTCTCACATGCAAATTTTTTCAAAATCATCAATCAATTAGGGACTTATATTGAGGCTATGTAAAAAACTCTTATGACTCAACAAAAGACAAACCCAATTTTAAAATGGGAAGAGGATCTAAGTAGACATTACTGCAAAAAAATTTGTAAATGACCAATAAGCGCATTGAAAGATAACACAAACCTGTAATCCAAGCACTTTGAGAAGCCTAGGCAGGTGGATTGCTTGAGCCCAGGAGTTTGACACCAGCCTGGGCAATGTGAGGAAACCCCATCTCTACAAAAAAAAAAAAAAAAATCAAAAATTAGCCAGGTATGATGGTGCACACCTGTAGTCCTAGCTACTCAAGACATGAGGCAGGAGGATCACCTGAGCCAGGAAGGTTGAGGCTGCACTCAGCCCAGATCATGCCACTGGACTCTAACCTGAGTGACAGAGTGAGACCCTGTCTCAAAAAAAAAAAGTAAAAGGTAACACAACATCAATAGTCACTAGAGAAATATAAAACAAAACAAAACAAAATACCAAAATGAGATACCACTTCACACCTATTATGATGGCTAACATCAAGAAGACAGTAAGTTGGCAGCAATGTGGAGAATCTGAACCTTCATAATGTGCTACTGGAATATACAATGGTACAGCCACTTGGGAAAACAACCGGTCAGTTTCTTAAAAGTTCAGTGTAAATGTACCCTATTCCTAGTAATTATACCCCTAGGTATATATACAAGAGATACTAAGGTATATGTCCAGACAAAAAGTTGCTCAAGTATGGTCACTGTAGCATTATTCATAACAGCAAAAAATGAAAACAACAGAATCATCAAGTGATGATTAAACAGTTGGTATGTTCATAGAATACTTAATGCTCAGCAATAAAAAGGAGCTACTGATCCACGCAACAAGCCCACTGAGCCTGAGGTGAATTATGCTCAGTGAAAAAAAACTAATTTCAATAGGAAACACACTATGTACTCAATTTCTATATCATAATTCAGAGATGGGGTCATAAAAGCATCCTAAAATTAGATTGTGATGATTGTTGCAAAATCATTTAAAAAAATGTAAGACTCTAAATTTACTATCAGTGAATTAAATACTTCAGACAGGTGAATTTTATGGTGCATCAATTATACTTCAATAAAGCTGCTAAAAATTAACCTTTTCACCACAATGAGAATAAAACAAAGGTTAACAGAAAACAAAATGTGTGTGTTTATGTACATATTATTTTCCCTTTTATCCTTACATTGTGAAGAGTATTCCAATGATATTTGTTATTTCAAAAGTCTAAAAAAAATTGACTCCAAAAGGTACCACTCTATCATTTTTTCTCTTCAAATGAAATGGCTAAACTTCCCTAAAGGAAGCTGAAATCCTTCTCATTCCCCAAGGGCTCATGTAAATGCCCTCTTCCTCATGAAATTCTTCCTGAACTATAGGAATCCAACCCCTAATGAACATTCGCAGCACTTTCTCTGAACCAGTCTTACAGCAGGGATGTGAGGCTCTTGCCATGGCCATTTTACAAACTTTTCTCCCTTCCACGAGACTCCGAGCCCTCCAAAGCCATAATGCTTATACACAGCTGTGCATCCCCTCCCCACCCAAAGCTGTGCCCAAAAATGCCATGCCTATTCAGTGACATTAGGTCATTAATCCTACTCATGATGCTTGGAAGTGGGCGCAGATCTATGATCTTATGTAGAAAACAAGTAGCTGATCTGAAAACAAAAAACAAGTCTCTACTTTTTCAGCTCAATGAACTTTTCTTGGATTATATAAATATCTAAGCAGCCCATAGGAAAATGTCTTACATCATATTCTCAAAGAAAATAAAAGAGAAACCATTAAAGTGTATTTAAATCTAGCAAAAGGGGATTAGGAAGCCAGCCAGCTATCAAGGAAGCAAAGCAATCACTAATCTAGATGCTTCTTTGGCTCTAAGAAAGATCTGCAATAAAACAAATCTAATAAAACTACACATGAATACATAAAATTAATGACAGCATGAATTTAAATGAATTGTCTTAACCAAGAATTTTTAAACTATATTAACATAAGCTGAATATTCAAATTTATATGAATAAACCATTGATGGGCACGAAGGGAGAAAGCACCTCACCTCTTAATAATAAATGAAATCCCAGCTGTGTACTCCAAAATCCATTCCAGGGTTGCAAGATCATAATTCTCAGGGTGTTTAAAGGCAACACCTTCTGGAAGCCCCTGTACTATCAAAGCTGACTGGTCTTGTAGCATCTTCTCATATGGTACAGGTACCTCTGTGGGTTTTTGTAAAGCTTTCCCTGGGAGAGGCAAAAAGCAGATAAATGTCATTAAATTTTAAGATTAAAAAACAAAATCATCACTACCTTATTGTGGCTTAATAAAGGCATACGTGATCTTTTGTAACATGTGGTTTTAAAATTACTTAACACTACAGCACCCTATTCACATGTAAGAAGTTCTAAACCTGACACCGATCCAAAGGGCCAAAATGTAAAGTATATTAAATATCTGACTTTAAAAACTACACAAAAAGAGAGAGAGATGTCTGATTTCTTGCATTATTGTCTTTAAGATGGTCCTACCCTGGCGTATTTCTTGGGTTCCTCCTAAAAGGAAGTGGAAAGTAAGGTTATTCCTCATCCATTCAGCTTGTGAAAATGTTGTTATATGATTGTTAAGTCAATGACATAACATAGTCTACCCTTTAAAAACTCTATTATATCAGGTATCTTTTATAAAATTTAAGTGTGTTGCTTTTAAGACAGCAAAAGCAGAAATAGTCCTCAACTGTTTTTTTCCGAGTGTTGCCATTTCTACAACATCTACACTCATCTGATTCACCTGGGTTGTAGACTTTATTTTACACATCTCTGCAACCTTTTCTTCTTCTTCAACACCTGTAAAAAATATTCAGGTGCATATCTATTTTCTTAATATTTATTTGGCTTTTAGTAAAAATAGTTTTTCCTATATTCCAATATTTATGATCTGTTATACAAACAAAAAATAGGTCAAGTGAAGTGGCTCACACTTATAATCCCACCACCTTGGGAGGCTGAGGCAGAATTGCTTGAGCCCAGGATTTCAAGACCAGCTTGAGCAACATAGAAACAACCTATCCCTATAAAAAAAGATTAATAAAATTAAGTGTGGTGGTGCATATCTGTAGTCCTAGCTACTTTGGAGGCTGAAGCAAGAGGATTGCTTGAGTCCAGGAATTTAAGGTTACGATGAGCTATAATTTTACCACTACATACCAGTCTGGGTCACAAAAAGAGACCCTGTGTTTAAAAAAAAAAAGGCAAGGGGAAGATCTTAAAGGGAGCTTTTAAAATACAAAGGTAAAATAAGAGTAATTTATTGGCTATAAATTTAAATATGGGAAGATTATCATCAGGAAACAAATTCTAGGCTTACAAAGTCCAGCACAATAACCACTAGACACATGTAACACTTGAAATGTGGCCAGTCCAAATTCAGATGTGCTGTAGGTGAACAATACACATTGACTTTTGAAAACTCAGCACAAAAAGTATTCCAAATATCCCATTAATAATTTCTATATTGATCACACATTGAAATATTTTAAAGTATTACCACTAAATGATTTTCACTTGTTTCCCTGTATTTTTAATGTTATAACTAGAAAGTTTTAAATCATGTGAATGACTCGCATTATATTTAGTTCTATGTAATAGCACTTCACTAAATCCTAGAAAAGGGCTCAGAATTCTCCTGAAGAATTTCTACAACTTCCTCATGAAACTATTGATTATGTTTCAGAAGAACACTATTGCAAACAAATAAAAGGTACTTGAGAATTAGGTACAAAAACCATTCTCCATGGTATCAAATTAGTAGCAATGTAAACAAACTATAAATACCAATAGGTGCGGACTACAACTCGCAATGAGGACAACTCCCCTAAGGCTTAGTTCGAATCAGTGGAGAACCATGTAAGCCACGGAGCACAGGGAGGGGAGAATAAACACAGCTGCCCGCGAGATTGTGGTATTTGTGGGTCAGAGGGCAGGTGATACACACAATCAAAACAGCATTATTAGTATAAAGAAACACACAATCAAGGACTTAACATTTCTCAAAACTAAAATATTGGCAAAATTTAAAAAATAGGTTACTACCATAAAGCTTGGAAGATTATAACACAGGTGGTGAGGGGAGGGATACAGTGGCGAGGATAGTTTTTTTAAGAAACTAAAAATACTACTGGGAATAGGAATTAGTGAATTAGCAAAATTTTTAATTCACTAGTAATGTGCTCAATTTATCATGAATTGAATCTAATCTGACAACGCAAATTTAAGTTTAAAGCTTAGTGGCATACAGACATCTGTGGGAGATACCGTAGGTTCAATTCCAGACCACCATAATCATGGAAGTATAAAGTGAAGTTACACAAATGTCTTCATTTCCCAATGCATTTAAAAGTTAGTTGAATCTTTCTTTCACAAAAGATCTCTGGGAGGTATGATGCTATTGGATAGCATTTTACACACAGTGGAACTTCTTTCCAAATCGGAATCAATCCTCTGAAAGCCTGCCATTGCTTTATGAAGTAAATTTATGGAATATTCTAAATCTTTTGTCATTTCAACAATATTCACGACATCTACACCAGGAGTAGGTTCCATTTCAGAGACGACTTTCTTTGCTCATTGTAAGAAGCAACTCCTTATCTGTTCATGTTTGATCATGAAATTGCAGCAGTTCAGTCCCATCTGCAGGCTCCTTTTTTTTTTTTTTTTTTTTTTTTGAGACAGAGTTTCACTCTTGTTGCCCAGGCTGGGGTGCAATGACAGGATCTCCACTCACTGCAACCTCTGCCCCCTGGGTTCAAGTAATTCTCCTGCCCCAGCCTCACAAGTAGCTGGGATTACAGGCGTGCACCACCATGCCCGGCTAGTTTTGTATTTTTAGTAGAGATGGGCTTTCTCCATGTTGGTCAGGCTGGTCTCAAACTCCTGACCTCAGGTGATCCCACCTTGACCTCCCAAAGTGCTGGGATTATAGGCATGAGCCACTGTGCCCAGCCAGCAGGCTTCACTTCTAATTCTAGTTCACATGCTATTTCCACCACATCTGCAGTTCCTTCGTCCTCTAAAATCCCGAACCCCTTAAAGTCACCTATGAGAGATGGAATCAACTTCTTCCACCAGTCTTGTTAATGTTAATTTTGTTCTCTTCCCATGAATCACAAATGTTCTTAATGGCACCTAGAACAGTAAATCTTCCCCAGAAGGTTTTTAATTTACTTTGCCCAGATCCATCAGAGGAATCACTATCTCTGGCAGCTATGGCCTTACAAAATGTAATTATTTCTTTTTTTGAGATGGAGTCTTGCTCTGTTGCCAGGCTGGAGTGCAGTGGTGCGATCTCGGCTCACTGGAACCTCTGACTTCCTGGTTCAAGTGATTCTCCTGCCTCAGACACCTGAGTAGCTGGGATTACAGGCACACACCACCACGCCCAGCTAATTTTTGTGTTTTTAGTAGAGATGGGGTTGCACCATGTTGATCAGGCTGGTCTCGATCTCCTGACCTTGTGATCTGCCTGCCTTGGCCTCCCAAATCGCTGGGATTACAGGCATGAGACACCACGCCTGGCCTACAAAATATATTTCTTAAAGAATAAAACTTGAAGGCTGAGTGCAGTGGCTCACACCTGTAATCCCAAGCTCTAAAGAAGGCCAAGGTGGGCAGATTGCTTGAACTCAGAAGTTTGAAACCAGCCTAGACAACATGGAAACAAAACATCTCTGCAAAAAAAAACCCTACAAAAATTAGCCAGGCATGCTGGTACACCACCTGTGGTCCGAGCTATTCAGCAGGCTGAAGTGGGAGGATCACCTGAGCCTGAGAAGACTGAGGCTGCAGTGAGCTGTGAATGTGCCATTACACTCAAGCCTGAACAACAGTAAGATGACCTTCTCAAAAAAGAAAATAATAATTATCATAAGACTTGAAATTACTCCTAAATCCATGGGCTGCAGAATGGATGCTGCATTAGCAGGCATGAAAATGATATTCATGTCTTTGTACAACCTCCATCAGGGCTCTCAGAGGGACTGGGTGCAGTGTTAATGAGCAGTAATATTTTGAAAGGAACTTTTTTTTCTGGGCAGTCAGTCTCAAAAGTAGGCTTAAAATATTCAGTGAACAATGCTATAAAGAGATATGCTGTCATCCAGGCTTTACTGTTCCACTGATAGAGCACATGCAGAGCAGATTTAGCATAGCTCTTAAGGGCCCTAGAATTTTTGGAATGGTAAATGAGCACTGGCTTCAGTTAAAGTCATCAGCTGCATTAGCCCCTAACCAGAGTCTCAGCCTGTCCTTTGAAGCTTTGAAGCCAGTAATGGAATTCTCTCTAGCTAGCAAAGTCCCAGAAGGCATCTTCCAATATAAAGCTGTTTTGTCTACATTAAAAATCTGTTTTTTGGGTGTAGCCATCTTCATGAATTATCTCAGCGAGATCTTCTGAAGAACTTGAAGTTCCTACATCAAGCACTTGCTGCTCACTTTGCACTTTTATATTATACAGACTGTGTCTTTCTTTAAACCTTATGAGCCAACCTCTGCTAGCTTTCAGCTTTTCTTTTGCAGCTTACTCACCTCCTCTCAGCCACCACAGAATTGAAGAGAGTTAGGGCTTTGTTCTGGATTAAGCTTTGACTTACAGGAATGTTGTGGCCAGTTTGACCTTCTATCCAGACCACTCAAAATTTCTCCGTATCAGCAATAAGGCTGTTTTGCTTTTTTATCATTTGTGGGTTCACTGGAGCAGCACTTCTCATTTCCTTCAATAACTTTTCCTGTGCATTCACCACCTGGCAAACTGTTTGGCCTAGCTTTCAGCTGCCAACATGTCTTCCTCACTAAGCTTCATCATTTTTAACTTGATTTAAAGTGAGCAGACTGCAACTCTTTCTTTTACATGAACACTTAGAGGCCACTGGAGGGCTGTTAACTGGCCTCATTTCAATATTGTGTCTCACGGACTAGGGAGGCGTTAGGAGAGGAAGCGATGGGAAACCACCTGACTGGTGGATCAGTCAGAGCACACAACATTTGCCAATGAGGTTTGCCATCTTATATGGGTGCATTCATGGAGTCCAAAACAATTACAACAGTAACATCAACGCTCACTGATCGCAGGTCACCACAGCACATATAATAATCATGAAAAAGTTTGAAATATTCTAATATTCTAAGAGTAACCAAATGTGACACAGAGAACCAAAGAGAGCACATGCTGTTGGAAAAATGGCACAAAAGACTTGCTTGACACAAGATTCCCACAAATCTTCAATTTGTAAAAACTGCAGTATCTGCAGGGCTCAAAAAAATGAGTTATGCCTGTATGTATTCTGTGCCTATAGACGCCCTGCCTTTTTTTGTTCCCTTTCAGTGTTTCACTCAGTTAACATGAAACCTATCGACAGTGTTAGGTTACACACAGATATGAAAACTGTCATACTGTGAAAGGCCATAAGTATTAACACCCTATAGTAAATTTTAATACTGTGTTCCAATGTCAAATAAGCTCATTGCTCTAAACGAGGATTACAAAACCCACTGAAGATTCAGATAAGGTGATTCCACTTAGCAAATTGAGAACTGTTTAATTCTGCATCATGCTTAAACAAACTCCTTTGCACAGTGAATTTCTTGTTTTCAGTTCACCACCTTTATCTAGAACTCCATATCTGAGTATGAACGTTTAATGTATTCAAAATTTCTCTCCCTTCATTATCTTCTAATGCATCTCATTAATCCAGAGTGAAGCCAAGCAAGGAGCCCCGTACAATCAACACTTGCCATTGTTCTTAACTCTTCAGTATCTACCCTGACATATCACCACTTCAGTGATTCCTTTTAAGCATTTTGAAATGTCTTCATAAACATTTCAGAAAATCATTCATAGTTTAGGCCGTGCACAGTGGCTCACACCTGTAATCCCAGCACTTTGAGAGGCCGAGGTGAGTGGATCTTTTGAAGTCAGGAGTTCAGTACCAGCTTGACCAACATGGTGAAACCCCATCTCCACTAAAAATAGAAAAAAAAAATTAGCTGGGTGTGGTGCCACGTGCCTGTAATCCCAGCTACTCAGGAGGCTGAGGATTTGCTTGAACTCAGGAAGCAGAGGTGGCAGTGAGCCGAGACCTCACCACTGCACTCTGCCTAGACAACAGAATGAGACTCCACCTCAAAAAAAAATTTTTTTTATAGTTTAAACCTCATTCTGCTTTAGAAGCAAATATGACTAGTGTTATCTATAAATATTTAGGTTTAAAAACAATGAAATAAAAATGATAACAATACAATGCTTACAATATTTCACAAAATCGGCTTGAAAATCCTTTCTGGTATTGAAAAAATTGTGTCCTCTGTCCTTCAGTTCTGAAGGCAAAGAGATCTGCTTTATACTCTGTGATGCAGGCCACTTTGGCCTTAAACTTGGCCAGTTCTTTAAAGTATAATAAGAACAGCAAATATTATGTTAAAGGCAGACATTTAAAAGCACCATTTCTGCTAGATGAATTAAAAAATCTAACACAAGCCTGGGCACAGCACCTCATGCCTTGTAGTTCCAGCACTTTGGGAGGCCAAGGCGGGTGGATCACGAGGTCAGGAGTTTGAGAAAAGGCTGGCCAACACAGTGAAACCCCATCTGTACTAAAAATGCAAATAATAATAATAATAATAACAAATAAATAAATAAAAGGCTGGGTGTGGTGGCTCATGCCTGTAATCCTAGCTACTTGGGAGGCTGAGGCAGGAGAATCACTTGAACCTGGGAGGCAGAGGTTGCAGTGAGTTGAGATCATGCCAATGCACTCCAGACTGGGCAACAGTGCAAGACTCTGTTTAAAAAAAAAAAAAAATCTAACACCATTTTTTAAAGTTACTACTCTTTCTAAATAGATTTTTGCCTGATTTTAAGCAAAAGACACCACAAGATTTGTAAGAAAAAAATGCAGAAATCCCTTGTAATCTATTACAGGTCAGATACTCCAAGAAAGAGACTGAGATTTCACACAGGCTTGCTGGGGAGCACTGCCAATAACAGCACCCAGGAGGAGGGAGGCAGGCATGGCTGAACAGGCAAAGTGCTGAACAGGGATGCAGCTGCACCAAGAGCTCAGAAGCCAGTGTGGCCCTCCCCAGGGAAAAGGTGGACAAGGTGACTCGAACACTCGCAGCAGCTGGGGAAATTAGTGCCATCAGAATTGAAAGAAGGGACTGAAACCCACACTACAGTATTCAGTACATAATCCCCTCCTCCAGAAGTATTACCCCATCTACACATAGCCAGAATCACATTTAGGTGATTACTTACTGACTTTCACTAAGAATATTTCTATGAGAGTCAAATTATTTAAAAATGTTATAGAGTACATAGTATTCCATTTTATGGATACACCATAATTCCTTTAGTGCTAGCATCATTTCAAAGGTCAGTGATTCCAATTTTCCCTCCTAAAAATAACACTACTGTAATAACCTGGGAAGCAAATATTTATGTACATCTTCAGTGACTTTCTCAAAAAAGACATGAGAGTCAAGAAAAACAACCATTAAGAGTCAATACTCCAAATACTCAAAATCTACTAAAATTTGCTTTCTAATAAGGTTCATAATATCCTAGCAAATGTTACCATGTGACTTTTCCAGAAACCTTGAAAAAGGGTATCTTAGTGTCATAAACATACTCCACTGATTGGTGTTAAAATTAAAGAGTATCGTAGCATAATTTTCTGCAAATTACCATTTCTTTTGTCTATTTATCAAATGTGTTAGTGTATCTCCAACTGACCCATAGAGGTACATCACTTATTTTAGGCATAGAAAGGCCATTTATGGAATTAAATAATTATACAATAATTACATATATTTTGTTTTGGTTTTAAAATTTGTCTCAGTATAACTATTTTTGCTCATCTAGAATTTAACTCATCACATGATGAAGACTATACATTGAAGCTTGTTTTTACCACAATTTTTACTTTTTACCAAATAGCCTATTTTCTCAGTATCATTTGTTGAAAACTGTAAGCTTTCCAGTATTTGTTTTTGATTTGTACAATAAATGCCCTCTAATTTCTTAAATGGAGATTATTTCAGCATAATATTGCTTTAAAATGTTATCCTCAGTAACTAATTTAGCAGCTAGTGAGGTGATCAGAAATCTTTTGAGCTATAATAAAGCCATGGTAGAGAACTTCTGACTTGGAGGTGGGCCAACAACTGCCCCAGCGTGAAGAATGATGAGCCTCAGTAATTTCCTTCCGTTGCACTTACATGACATGTGCTGTGGCTACTCTCCTGTAAGGAACTATTATTTACTTACCTTGTGGTAAATGAGGGTACATTCTTGCTTCAGTATCCACACTCTAAAACAATCCTGTCAACAAAGGCAATGTTTATGAAAGAGTAAGCAAGATTCATGTACTATCCATAGATTAGATAAAACAAGTCTACCAGCCAAGGAAGAGATAAAGTCAGCTTGGATCTGCTTAGCACTCTGACAAGCCAGTGAAAAACTCAGCAGTTTCTACAACTTTAATTATACCGTGTAATATACAACTAGGAATAGGAGGAGAAATGGTCTTACTAATAATGCTGGCAAGGAAGACATAAAAGCTGAGAATAGTGAAATGACTATGCCAAAGATGAGGGAACTGTTAAGAAACTCTAAGGAAGTGAATGGATCTTACATGGCCTTATGGTATTCTTTGCAGAGATCAATATTTAAAAAAAATATTTTATTATCAACAGAACAGCATTTCATCTCTAAATTTTTATTTAACATTAAAGTCACAAATTTTGCCTGGTTTTATGATCACAAGGCAGAAACAAGTCATTCATAAAATAACAACATATAACCACCAACCATTCTAAAATTTCTTTAAGGAGATAATTTTATAAAGTTCTTAAAACATTTTTTTAATGCCCTAATAAGAAAACAAAACAGATGGCCAAGCACAGATGCTCAAGCCTGTAATCTGAGCACTATGGGAGGCTGAGGCAGGAAAGTCACTTGAACCCAAGAGGTCAAGGCTGCACTGAGCTATGATCATGCCACTGCCCTCCAACCTAAAAGAGTCAGATCCTGTCTCAAAAAAATGAAAAAAAAGCATCCACAAACTTTGTCACACAGAGTTCTGTGAGGTTAAGCACCACCTAAATACTTTTCACCCACTTAAGAGGAGGAAAATGCATACTCCTGCTTAAAACATTTACATTTAATATGTCAGAAAACACCTAAGGCCATGCATGGTGGCTCATACCTGTAATTCCAACACTTTGGGAAGCCAAGACAGGACAATTGCTTGAACCCAGGAGTTTAAGACAAACCTGGGCAACGTAAAGAAACCCTGTCTCTACAAAAAAGCTTAAAAATTAGCTAGGCCAGGAACAGTGGCTTATGCCTGTAATCTCAGGACTTTGAAAGGCAGAGGTGGAATTGATTGAGCTCTAGAGTTACAGACCAGCCTGGGCAATATATTAAGACCTCATCTCCACTAAAAAGCAAAACAAAGTAGCCAGATGTGGTAGCACATGCCTACAGTCCCACCTACTCTGAGGCTGAGGTGGGAAGACCACTTCAACCCAGGATGTCCAGGCTGCAGTGAGCCATGATTACACCACTGCATTCCAGTCTGGACAAGAGAGTAAGATCCTTTCTCAAAAAAAAAAAAAAAAAAAAAAAAGGTTAAAAAAAAAAAGAAAATACCTAAGTCTGATACTTTTTCTTTTTTTTTTTGAGACAGAGTCTCACTCTGTCGCCCAGACTGGAGTGCAGTGGCACGATCTTGGCTCACTGCAAGCTCCACCTCCCAGGTTCATGCCATTCTCCTGCCTCAGCCTCCCGAGTAGCTGGGACTACAGGCATCCGCCACCACACCCAGCTAATTTTTTTTGTATTTTTAGTAGAGACGGGGTTTCACCGTGTTAGCCAGGATGGTCTCAATCTCCTGACCTCGTGATCCACCCTCCTTGGCCTCCCAAAGTGTTGTGATTACTGGCGTGAGCCACCGTACCCAGCCACCTGATACTTTTTATAATAAATACTATTTCCAACTACATACCCATAAAAATATAAATTAATTGTATAACTACCATGATAGTAATATAAAAATACAAAACTACATAATCAGTACTCAATATTTCACTGTAATTATGCATATGATAGGCTTTTTTTTTTTTAAGTAAAGAGCTGGCCAGGTGCGGTGGCTCTCACCTGTAATCCCAGCAATTTGGGAGGCCAAGGCAGACAGATCACTTGAGCTCGGGAGTTTAAGACAAGCCTTGCCAACATTGTGAAAACCCATCTTTAGCAAAAATACAAAAATTAGCTGAGTGTGGTGGCACACATCTGCAGTCCCAGCTACTGGAAAGGCTGTCAGGAGAATCACTTGAGCCTGGGAGGCAGAGGTTGCAGTGAGCTAAGATCGCACCACTGCACTCCTCCTTGGGTGACAGAGTGAGATTCCGGAAAAAAAAAAAAAGAAACATAAACAGCTAACACTAAACAATTTAGAAAGAGGTGGTTAATGCAATAGTGAATGTGTAAGCAGAAGAAATATAGATACACAATAGTAAAGATGCCCTCATGACCCCAAATTCTGGGAATCTTCTACATATTGATACAATAAAACTCCAGCCCCATACTCTAGTATATAAACTCATTCTGAGTAACCACAAATATTATACATAATTTCAAAATTCACACTTACAAAAACAAAAGATTGCCTAAAATAATGGTAGAAAATTATTTGAGATTCAAAGTAAAAATTAAACATTCTGAAGCATGGTAATAAAATGTCATTTGAAAGCCATAACTGCTATTCAAGAAAAAAAAACTACTCCTTAAAACTAAAAAGACATAAAATTATATCTTCTACAAAAACAAATCAACCTTATCTACAGCCCAGTTCTACCCAACTATGGAATGTCAGAATAGAAGGTCTCACCATGGACTCAAGAGCTGACATGAGGAATGTCACTACCATCCTGCTGAGGACTCCTCATCTTCAACGGCCAGGGTGGACACTGTTACTTGGGCCATGATCTTTGTGCAAGACAAGTAATAAGAAAATCAGTGGTAGAAATGTGGTGTTCCAAATCCACATTCAGAGCTCTGAGGATCTCCCACTGGCTGCCTAATTTACTGTTTTCTTACCTAAGAGAAAAAACAAGACTAAAAAACTAAGTATATGATTTGCCTGAAACTCTCATCAGATAGAGAATCTACCCCCTAACTTCCTATCTAGTGTTATTTCAATAACATTGGGTTAATATCACACCCAAAATAAATGCAGATGGCACTCAGAATCAGTGAAATTTCTCCCAAGAAGGAGGAGGAGGAGAGGTGCTTTACAACCCAGTGATGGACTACCACAGACCAATGCAGGACAGAGCTGCCAAGCTCCCTCTCTCCCCTGCACATCCTGACACAGCAAAGGGTGGGTGCAGTGGACTGAGGATGGGCAGAGAGAAGTTTCTCTTCTTACTGTGAAAATAGATCACGGGCACCAAGAAACAAATAAGATGATTTATATTACAGCATATTGCTCTATTTGAAAAACTTTTTATAATATTTTGGTAATTACAAAGACCCTCAAATGAATTTCAAACACTTTAAATATTCAACACATAAACAGAAAATATTAAATGTCAGCAAGGATATCGAAAAACTGGACCCTTTATGCACTGCTTTTTGGAATGTAACTGGTGCAGCCCCTGTGGAAAATGGTTTGGCAGCTCCTTAAAATATTAAGCATAGAATTATCACATAATCCAACAACTCCCTTTCAGGGTATATACCCAAAAGAACTGAGAGCAAGGACTCAAACAGGTATTTGTACACTCATGTTCATAGCAACATTATTCACAATGGCGAAAAGGTACAACCAACCCTACTGCCCATCAATAGGTAAATAGATAAGCAAAATGTGATATACACACATACATGAAATATTATTCAGCTGTATAAAGAAAAAACAATTCTGGCCAGGCTCAGTGACTTACCCCTGTAATCTCAGCACTTTGGGAGGCCGAGGCAGGCAGATCACTTGAGCCCAGGAATTCCAGATCAGCCTGGGCAAAATAGCAAGACCTCATCTCTGTAAGTTTTTTTTTAAAAAATTCTGATACTGCTATAGATGAACCTTGATAGCACTATGCAATCTATGCATGTAACAAAATTGCACTTACACTCCACAAATGTATGTAAAGTTGTTTTAAAATGGGGAATTCATCAAGGAAGAAATGTGAACCACGGAGAACAAAGAGGAGTGAGACAGAAAAGCCACCCACCCAGAATTGGTGTGGATCCCAGCGGGGGTTCCCCACGGCAGGAAAATAGTGAGCAAGAGCCACTGGTGACTCACCTTTCTGCCATCGACTTTTGAAATCCTGGGCACAGAAAATCCCCCGACACCCTCCCCTCAGGGCTCCTCAACTGACACAGAGAACTGCATGGAGTCTGGGCAGAGCCTCCAGTCAGGCCCACATGGAACCCTAAGGGCCTTGGACCCCTGAGCACCATAGTGCCAGCTGCTATAGTTCTGCCACCAGAAGAGGCCAGACTCTCTCACATGCCCCCAGGATAGGGGCCATATCTACAGTGCTGAGGAGGAGACAGACTCACCTCCTGTCTCTGCTCTACCTCCTGTAGCGGCCTCACCTCCACTACACCTCTCCTGGTAGTGCCCACTGGCCTGGGTCCCAGTGCAGCCACTTACCCTCTGCCTGAGCACTCAGGCTAATTGCAACTCTGCAGACTGACCTCCTAGAGGTAACTATCAGGCCTACTGTTTTTGCAACTGCCATGGTCCCTGCCTCTACCTCTCCTAGGCTAGGGAGGGACTGAAGAGCCCAAGAACTATCATAGGCTTCTTAGCACACCACAGCTGCCTTACAGAAAGTGGGCAAACTGTATCCACGTGGGTCCCCCTCCCTGCTATGCCTCACTGGGTAGGGTCTCCTGATCTGGGCCCCCAGCACAGCCATCCTGCACCCCCACCCTGAAGGACTGCTTCATTCAGTGGCATCTCTGCATCTCTCTGAGATGGAGCTTTCAGGGGTAACCCACGGGCTCTCTGCCATTGCCACTGTAGCAGTACCACCACTGCTGCCCTTGGCCTGGGGAAAGAATAAAGACCCTGATTGCTTTGCCAGCACCTCCAGTGTGCCACAGCCACCAGTTGGAGAGAAGCCCAGTTTCTCTTCTCTGTGAGCTTCTGGCAACCTGCTCTTCACCAGAAGGAGGCCCAGGTTTAAGCCCACAGTTCAGCCACCTCACCCTTGGCTGAACATTCTCATTGGCAGTGGCTCTGCGTCTCTCTGGGGTGGAGTTCCCAGAGGCAACTGAGAGCCCTTTTGCCATTACTGCTGCAGTGATACTGCCCTTGCTGCCCTCAGGCTGGGGAAGAAACAAAGTGCCTGAGTGCTTTGCTCACACCTCCAGCAGGCCACAGGCACCATATGGAGGGAAGCCCAGTCTCTCTTCCCTGTTGGCCCCAAATCCCCTGCTCTTCACTAGACAGGGGTCCCAGCTTGGGCTCACAATGCAGCTGCTCCATTTCTGACTGATCATTCTGATTGGCAGAGCTCTGCACGTCTCTGATGTGGTACCCCAAGAGACAACAGAAAGGCTTTCTGCCATTGCCATTGCCAAGGTCCCCAACACTGCTGCTCCCAAGCTGGGGAGAAAAAGAAAAGCCTGAGTTCACCCCAGAGCTATGGTGCACAGGGCTATGGGATGGGAGTGCCAAGCCAAGACCTATGGCTAGTACTCAAGTGGAGGACCAGCATAAAATTGCTGAAATGACAGACAGAGAATTCAGAACCTGGATGCCAATGAAGATCTTCAAGATTCAGGAGAAAGTTGAAACCCATTTCAAGGAATCTAAAAAATTCAGCAAAACTATTCAAGAGATGAGAGATGAAATAACCTTCTTAAGAAGGAACAAAACTGATCTGATAAAGCTGAAAAACTCACAAAAAGAATTTTGTAATACAATCAGAAATATTAACACCAGACGAGACCAAGCTGAGGGAAGAATCTCAGAGCTCAAAGACCAGTTCTTTGAATTAATTCAGTCAGACAAAAATAACTGAAAAAGATTGTTTTTCATGAACAAAACCTTTGAGAAATATGGGATTATGTGAAGATGCCAAATCTACAACTCATTGGCATCTCTAAGAGAAAGGAAGACAGAACGAGTAACTTGGAAAACATTTTTTAGGATACTGTCCATAAGAATTTTCTTAACTTTCCTAGAGAGGTTGAAATTCAAATTCAGAAAATTCAGGGGACCCCTGGGAGATAGTACACAAGATAACCATACCCAAGACATGTAGTCATCAGATTCTCCAAGGTCTGTGTGAAAGAAAAAATATTAAAGGCAGCTGGAGACAAGGTGCAGGTCACTTATAAAGGGAACTCCATTAGGCTATCTGCAGACCTTCCAGCAGAAACTGTACAAGACAAAAGCAATTGGGGGGCCTATATTCAGCATTCTCAAAGAAAACAAACTCCAACCAAGAATCTAATCACACCAAACTAAAACTTCATAAACAAAAGATAAAAGATATCCTTTCAGACAAGCAAATGCTAAGGGAATTCATTACCACCAAACCTGCCTTAAAAGAGATTCTTAAGAGTATGTTAAACATGGAAAAGAAAGACTATTACTGGCCACCACAAAAAACACACTGAAGTACATGGGCTATTTATACTATAATGTAAATACACAATCAAGTTTACATAACAAACAGCTAACAACACAATGTCAGGGTCAAATCTGCACATATCAGTATTAACCTCGAAAAAGAATGTGCTGAATACCCCACTGAAAAGGCGCAGAGTGACAAGTTAAATAAAGAAGCAAGACCCAACTGTATGCTGTCTTCAAGAGACCGATCTCACATGCAAGGACATCCACAGGCTCAAAGAAAACAGATGGAGAAAGACCTACCAAGCAAACAGAAAACAAAAAAGAGCAGAAGTTACTATTCTTTTTTCAGACAAAACAGACTTTAAATTAACAATGATCAAAAAAGACAAAGAAGGGCATTTCATGATAATGGGTTCAATTCAGTAAGAAGACTTAACTATCCTAAATGTTAATTATATGCACCCAACATTGGAGCACCCAGATTCATAAATCAAGTTCCTAGAGACTTATGAAGAGACTTAGATAACCACACAATAATACTGGGAGACTTTAAAACCCCACTGAAAGCACTGGACAGATCACCAAGGCAGAATATATTTAGGACCTAAACTTGACACTTAACCAAATGGACCTAACAGTCATCTACAGAACACTCAAGCCAGCAAAACCAGAATGTACATTCTTCTCACCTGCACATGACACATACTCTACAACTGACCACCACACACTTGGCCATAAGGCAACTCACAACATATTCTAAAGAATCAAAATCATACCAACCACACTATCTATCGGACCACAGTGCAATAAAAATAGGTATCAATACCAAGTAGATCTCTCAAAACCATACAATTTAATAAAAAATTAAATAAGCAGCTGCTGGTGACTTTTGGGTAACGAATAAAATTAAGGCTGGAATCAATAAATTATGTGAAACTAACAGAAACAAAGATGCAACATACCTATATCACTGAGAAACTGTTTAAAAAAAGTGTTAAAGGGAAAGTTTGTAGCACTAAATACCCACATTAAAAAGTTAGAAAGACATCAAATTGAGAACCTAACATTGTATCTTTTTATTTTATTTATTTATTTTTGAGACGGAGTCTTGCCCTGTCACACAGGCTGGAGTGCAGTGGAGCAATCTCAGCTCACTGCAACCTCCATCTCCCGGGTTCAAGCAACTCTCCTGTCTCAGCCTAGCTGAGACTACAGGTGTGTGCCACCATGCCCAGCTAATTATTTTCTTTTTAGTAGAGACGGGGTTTCACCATATTGGTCAGGCTGGTCTCAAACTCCTGACCTCAGGTGATCCACCCACCTCGGCCTCTCAAAGTGCTGGGATTACAGGCATGAGCCACTGTGCCAGGTGATATCTGGAGGAAACAGAAATGTAACAGCAAATCAACCCCAAAGCTAGAAGACAAGAAATATCAAAGCTGAACTGAATGAAACAGAGATCAAAAAAAAAAACACTGTACAAAAATCCAGTGAAACTTATTTCTGAAAGAATAAATAAGATTGTTAGACTGCTAGCTAAAGAAAAAAGGATGATCTACCTAAACATGATAAAAAGTGACAAAGGAAATATTATCACTGATGCCACAGAAATACATGAAACCATTAGAGACTGTTATGAACACCTTCATGCACACAAACTAGAAAACACAGAAGAAGTGGATAAATACCTGGAAACATATAAACCCCCAAGACTGAATCAGGAAGAAATTAAAATCCTGAACAGACCAATACTGACTTCTGAAACTGAATCAATAATAAAAAGCCTACCAGAAAAACTCTGGACCAGATGGATTCACAGCCAAATTCTACCACACATATAAAGAAGAGCTGGTACCAGTTTTACTGAAACTATTCCAAAAAAAGGAGGAGGAAAGACTTCTTCCTAACTCATTCTATGAGGCCAGCATCATTCTGAAACCAAAACCTAGCAGATATGGGAAAAAAAAAAAAAAAAAAAGCAAATTGGGCTGGGCATGGTGGCTCACGCTTATAAACCCAGCACTTTGGGAGGCAGAGGCAAGCAGATCACCTGAGGTCAGGAGTTCGAGACCAGCCCAGCTAACATGGTGAAACTCCGTTTCTACTAAAAATAGAAAAAATTAGTTGGGCATGGTGGTACAGGGCTGTAGTCCCAGCGACTTGGGAGGCTGAGACAGGAGAATCCCTTGAACATGGGAGGTGAAGGTTACAGTGAGCCGAGATCATGCCACTGCACTCCAGCCTGGGCAACAAGAGTGAAACTCTACCTCAAAAAAAAATATATATATATATATTTATATATTATATATATATAATTTATATATTATATATAATATATATTATATATAATTTATATATTATATATAATATATATTATATATAATTTATATATAATATATAATATATATTATATATAATTTATATATTATATATAATATATATTGTTTTTATTTATATAAATAATATATATTTACATAAACATATTTATATAAATATATTTATGTATTTCTGTAAATATAAATATAAATATTTACATATAAATATAAATATAAATATTTACATATAAATATAAATATAAATATTTACATATAAATATAAATATAAATATTTACATATAAATATAAATATAAATATTTACATATAAATATAAATATAAATATTTACATATAAATATAAATATAAATATTTACATATAAATATAAATATAAATATTTACATATAAAATAAATATTTACATATAAACATAAATATTTACATATAAATATAAATACATATAAATATAAATATTTACATATAAATATAAATATATTTACCAAACTGAATCCAGCATCACATCAGAAAAGCTAATCCAACATGATCAGGTAGGCTTTATTCCTGGGATGCATGGTTAAACACCCTCAAAAACTAGGCATCAAAGGTACATACCTCAAGATAATAACAGCCATCTATAACAAACCCACAGTCAAGATCATACTGAAAGGGCAAAAGCTTGAAACATTCCTTTTGAGAACCAGAAGAAAACAAGGATACTCATGCTCACTATTCCTATTAAATAAAATATTGGAAGTCCCAGCCAAAGCAATCAGGCAGTGGAAATAAATAAAAGGCATCCAAATAGGAAGAGTGGAAGTCAAATGATTTCATTTCACAAATTATATAATTCTATACTTAGAAAAGCCCACAGTCTCTGCCCAAAGGCTCCTAGATCTGGAAAAAAAAACTTCAGTAGTTTCAGCATACAAAATAAATGTATGGAAATCAGTAACATTTCTATACACCAATAACATCCAATTGAAAATACAATTATATTCACAATAGCCACCAAAAGAATAAAATACCTGGAAACACAGCTAACCAGGAAGGCAAATGTTCTCTACAATGAGAATTACGAACCATTGTTCAAAAAAATTAGAGATGACAAAAACAAACAGAAAAACATTCCTCGCTCATGGATAGGAAGAATCAATATTGCTAAAATGGCCCTGCTACTGAAAGAAATTTACTTTTGAATTCAATGTTATTCCTATTAAACTACCAACAACATTTTTTTGCAGAATTTTTTAAAAATGAAAAAACTTATTTGAAACAAAAAAAGAGCCTGAATACTCAAAGCTATTCTATGCAAAGGAACAAAGCTAGACTCATCATACTACCCAACTTCAAACTACACTACAAGACTACAATACCTAAAAGAGCATGGATACAGGTACAAAAATAGACACAGAGACCAAAGGAACAGGCTAGAGAACCCAGAAATAATTACCATTCAGGACACAGGCATGGGGAAGGACTTCATGTTTAAAACACCAAAAGCAATGGCAACCAAAGCCAAAATTGACAAATGGGATCTAATTAAACTAAAGAGCTTCTGCATGGCAAAGGAAACTACCATCAGAGTCAACAGGCAACCTACAGAATGGGAGAAGATGTTCACAACCTACTCATCTGACAAAGGGCTAATATCCAGAATCTACAATGAACTCAAACAAATTGACAAGAAAAAAACAACCCCATCAGAAAGTGGGCAAAGGACATGAACAGACACTTCTCAAAAGAAGACATTTATGCAGCCAAAAAACACATGAAAAAATGCTCACCCATCACTGGCCATCAGAGAAATGCAAATCAAAACCACAATGAGATACCATCTCACACCAGTTAGAATGGTGATCATTAAAAAGTCAGGAAACAACAGGTGCTGGAGAGGATATGGAGAAATAGGAACACTTTTACACTGTTGGTGGGACTGTAAACTAGTTCATCCATTGTGGAAGTCGGTGTGGCAATTCCTCAGGGATCTAGAACTAGAAATACCGTTTGACCCAGTCATCCCATTACTGGGTATATACCCAAAGGACTATAAATCATGCTGCTATAAAGACACATGCACACGTATGTTTATTGCGGCCTTATTCACAATAGCAAAGACGAAACCAACCCAAATGTCCAACAGTGATAGACTGGATTGAGAAAATGTGGCACATATACACCATGGAATACTATGTAGCCATAAAAAATGATGAGTTCATGTCCGTTGTAGGGACAGGGATGAAATTGGAAATCATCATTCTCAGTAAACTATCGCAAGAACAAAAAACCAAACACCGCATATTCTCACTCATAGGTGGGAATTGAACAATGGGAACACATGGACACAGGAAGGGGAACATCACACTCTGGGGTCTGTTGTGGGGTGTGGGGAGGGGGGAGGGATAGCATTGGGAGATATACCTAATGCTAGATGACGAGTTGGTGGGTGCAGCGCACCAGCATGGCACATGTATACATATGTAACTAACCTGCACATTGTGCACATGTACCCTAAAACTTAAAGTATAATAATAAATAAATAAGTAAATAAATAAATAAATAAAAATAAAGCCACACATCTAAAACCACCTGATTTTTTCACAAAGCCAAGAATAACATACAATAAGGAAAGGACTCCCCCTCAGGCACAGTGGCTCATGCCTGTAATCCCACCACTTTCAGAGGCCAAGAAGGGTGGATCACCTGAGGTCAGGAGTTTGAGACCAGCCTGGCCAATATGGTAAAACCCCATCTATACTAAAATTACAGAAATTAGCTGGGCGTGGTGGAGGGTGCCTGTAATCTCAGCTACTCTGGAGGCTGAGGCAGGAGAATCACTTGAACTTGGAAGACGGAGGTTGCAGTGAGCTGAGATCGTGGCACTGCATTCCAGCCTGGGCAATAACTCGAATCCATCTCAAAAAAAAAAAAAAAAGGAAAGGAAGGAAAAGACTCCCTATTCAATAAATAGTGCTGGGATAACTGGCTAGTCATATGCAGAAGATTGAAGCTGGACTACTTCATTTATACCATATATAAAAATTAACTCAAGATGGATTAAAGACTTAATATAAAACCTAAAAGTGTAAGAACCCTAGAAGAAAACCTAGGAAATACCATGCTGTACATTGGCCCTGGCAAAGACTTCAAGACTCTAAAAGCAACTGACACACAAGAAGTTGACAAATGATACTGGATTAAGCTAAAGAGCTTCAGCACAGCAAGAGAAACTATCAACAGAGTAAACACACAACCAACAGAATGAGAAAAAAAAAACTTGCAAACTATGTTTTTCATCAAAGCTTTAATATGTAGAATCTATTTAAAAAATTGTAATTCACCAAGCAAAAAACAAACCTTACTAAAAATGAAAAAAGAACATGAACATACACTTCTCAAAAGAAGACAGACACGCATCCAACAAGCATATTAAAATGCTCAATGTCACTATCATTAGAAAAATGCAAATCAAAACCACTGGATACCATCTCACATCAGTCACAGTAGCCATATTAAAGAGGCAAAGAATAATAGATGCTGGTGGGTAGTGAAGAGAAAGCTTATACACTGCTAGATGGAATGTAAATTTTTCCAGCCACTTAGAAAGTACTCTGGAGACTTCTCGAAGAATTTAAAACCAAACTACCATTTGACCCACCAATTCCATTATTTCATTATTTGGTATATACCCCCAAAACAGAAATCATTCAACTGTAAAGACACATGCATGCTTATGTTCATCACAGTACTATTACAATACTATTTACAATCATACTAAGTACTAGTACTATTGTACTAGTACACAGTACTATTTACAATAGCAAAGACATGGAATCATCTGATGTCCTTTAATAAATAAATGGATTTTACAAATGTGGTGTGTGTGTGTGTGTGTGTACACAATGTAATATATTACACAATGTAATATAGATATATATTACACAATAATGTAAATACACAATCATATTTCATTATATATACACACGCACACACACAATGAAATAGTATTCAGCCATAAAAAGATAAAATTCCGTTCTTTGCAGCAACATGGATGAACCTGGAGGACACCGTGTTAAGTAAAATAAGCCAGGCATAAAAACAAATACTGCACATTCTCACTAATATATAGAATCTAATAAAGTTGATCTCATAGGAGTAGAGAGTAGAATGGTGGTTACTAGAAGCTAGGGTGTGCAACAGAGTGCAAAATGAGGAGAAAATGGTCAATGGGCAATAAGTTACAGTTAACAGGAGGAATATATTCTAGTGCACAGTAGGGTGACTATGGTGAACAATTTTGTATTGAATATTTCAAATGGCTAGAAAAGAGAGTTTTGAATGTTCTCACCACAAAGAAATAATAAATCAGATGTTGGATATGCTAAATCCCCTAATTTGATTATTACATATATAAACACATATCTAAAGCTCACATTGTACCCCATCTATATGTAAAATTATTGTGCCAATTAAAAACAAAATTAAAGGCGAGGTGTGGTGGCTCATGCCTGTACAAATCCCAGCACTTTGGGAGGCTGCGGTGGGCTGATCACCTGAGGTCAGGAATTCGAGAACAGCCTTGCCAACATGGTGAAACCCCGTCTCTACTAAAAATACAAAAATTAGCTGAGCATGGTGGCGGGTGCCTGCAATCCCAGTTACCAAGGAGGCTGAGGCATCAGAACTGCTTGAATCCTGCTCAATGAAATAAAAGAGGATACAAACAAATGGAAAAACATTCCATGCTCATAGGTAGGAAGAATCAATATCATGAAAATGGCCATACTGCTCAAGGTAATTTATAGATTCAATGCCATCCCCATCAAGCTACCAATGACTTTCTTCACAGAATTGGAAAAAACTACTTTAAAGTTCATATGGCACCAAAAAAGAGCCCGCATCACCAAGTCAATCCTAAGCCAAAAGAACAAAGCTGGAGGCATCACGCTACCTGACTTCAAACTATACTACAAGGCTACAGTAACCAAAACAGCATGGTACTGGTACCAAAACAGAGACATGGATCAGTGGAACAGAACAGAGCCCTCAGAAATAATGCCACATATCTACAACTATCTGATCTTTGATAAACCTGAGAAAAACAAGCAATGGGGAGAGGCTTCCCTATTTAATAAATGGTGCTGGGAAAACTGGCTAGCCATATGTAGAAAGCTGAAACTGGATCCCTTCCTTACACCTTATACAAAAATTAATTCAAGATGGATTAAAGACTTAAACATTAGACCTAAAACCATAAAAACTCTAGAAGAAAACCTAGGCAATACCATTCAAGCATTACCATGCCCAAACCTAGGCATGGGCAAGGACTTCATGTCTAAAACACCAAAAGCAATGGCAACCAAAGCCAAAATTGACAAATGGGATCTAATTAAACTAAAGAGCTTCTGCAAAGCAAAAGAAACTACCATCAGAGTGAACAGGCAACCTACAGAATGGGAGAAAATTTTTGCAACCTACTCATCTGACAAAGGGCTAATGTATCCAGAATCTACAATGAACTCAAACAAATTTACAAGAAAAAAACAAACAACCCCATCAAAAAGTGGGCAAAGGCCATGAACAGACACTTCTCAAAAGAAGACATTTATGCAGCCAAAAAACGCATGAAAAAATGCTCACCATCACTGGCTATCAGAGAAATGCAAATCAAAACCACAATGAGATACCATCTCACACCAGTTAGAATGGCAATCATTAAAAAGTCAGGAAACAGCAGGTGCTGGAAAGGATGTGGAGAAATAGGAACACTTTTACACTGTTGGTGGGACTGTAAACTAGTTCAACCCTTGTGGAAGTCAGTGTGGCAATTCCTCAGGGATCTAGAACTAGAAATACCATTTGACCCAGCCATCCCATTACTGGGTATATACCCAAAGGACTATAAATCATGCTGCTATAAAGACACATACACACATATGTTTATTGCGGCACTATTCACAATAGCAAAGACTTGGAAGCAGCATAAATGTCCAACAATGATAGACTGGATTAAGAAAATGTGGCACATATATACCATGGAATACTATGCAGCCATAAAAAATGATGAGTTCATGTCCTTTGCAGGGACATGGATGAAATTGGAAATCATCATTCTCAGTAAACTATCGCAACAACAAAAAACCAAACACCGCATATTGTCACTCATAGGTGGGAATTGAACAATGAGAACACATGGACACAGGAAGGGGAACATCACACTCTGGGGACTGTTGTGGGGTGGGGGGAGGGGAGGAGGGATAGCTTTAGGAGATACACCTAATGCTAAATGACGAGTTAATGGGTGCAGCACACCAGCATGGCACATGTATACATATGTAACTAACCTGTACATTGTGCACATGTACCCTAAAACTTAAAGTATAATTAAAAAAATTGCTTGAATCCAGGAGGCAGAGGTTGCAGTGAGCTGTGATCATGCCACTGCACCCCAATCTGGGCAACAGAGTCAGACTCTGTCTCAAAAAAAAGAATTAAAAAAGGAAAAATGAGGTCATGAGCTAAACATCTGCCCCCAAACTGTATGGAAAGGTATATGAATAAAGATCATCACCACTTACCAGAAGAGAAACGTGTAAGAAAATCTTCAGTAGCAATTAGTACTATGGTAGGAAACCTACACTGTAATTGAGGAATTGCTGAAGCCTGAGAGTGGACAAGCGTGAGAGTTAAAATCTCCAGGGAAGCCAGTCTTAGTCCCTCCTTCTCACTTTTGAAGAGTTTTATCGTCAGAAGCCCTACCAGATTCTTAGACTAGAGGTAGAAAAATCTCGTGTTTCTGGCATAGGGAAAGGAAATGTACCCATTCTAAAAGCCACCTAGAACATTCTATTCTTCTTACCAAGCTCTGCCATCAGAAAACTATTTGAGCAAAGCCTAACCTACTGGGGTTTTGTCAGAGTTTATATGACCTAAGTTAAGGGAAATACCCATCACCAGACTGCTGCAGTCTTCAGTGGGGAAGAAGAGAAATATTCAACTTCAGACCACTTGAGCCCTTCATGTGAGAGAAGAAACATATGCAACTCCCATTCCCTCTAGCCTTCCTGTTAAACCTAAGGGGGTGGGAAAAGAAATGTGAAGCATTTTTTAAGATGACAAGACAGAGGCACAGACTCACTACAAGACACAAAACTCAGGGCCTGGAATGGAGATATCCTTCTGTTCTCAATAAATGCATCAGGACAAACTGATGGGAGTGGAAGTAATAAGCAGCCTAGGTTTTCCTCTCTGTATCTCATGCTCTGTGTCACAGACGTGTCCTCTGGAGGACAGAGCACTTCTCCTATGTAACTCTGAAAGAAGTAACATTTTTCTGACTTCCAAAATACTTTTGCTTTAGTTCAATTCAGAAAAATAAAATCCACTAAGGAACATATTTGAAGAACACTACAAATCACCTGTAGGGAACCCATAGAAACACATTAGGAAATGTGATATTGTGTTGTGCACATTTTGAAGGCTGGATTATTGGGAGGTATATTTTGTTGACAAGTTCTGAGAACATACAATTCATTAGGCAGAAGCTACGTAGAAAACTGAGCTTTCACATTAAAAAGTTTGGAACCCAGATGGTACAATAAAAGTTTAGAAATTGTACACTCTGTGGCTGTGTTGATGTTTTATATTATTTGATGTGGAAATGAGTGAAGAGGCTAGATTATCCAGAATGTACCTGAGATAATCAGAGATAACCAAGGAGAAGGTAAAATTAAAATGATCGTGGTAATTATTTGGAGCACTAAAGAACAAACATTGATAATGCGAGATCTGTTTTTTCCCAGATACATGAAATACATTTCTTTGTTATTAAGATGAACATACTTTAAGCACAATGCTTCTGTTATGCTTAAAAATACCTTTTTTCAGCCAGGTGCAGTGGCTCATGCCTGTAATCCCAGCACTTTGGGAGACCGAGGTGGGCGGATTACAAGGTCAGGAGATCGAGACCTTCCTGGCTAACACGGTGAAACCTCATCTCTACTAAAAATACAAAAACTTAGCCAGGCATGGTGGCAGGTGCCTGTAATCCCAGCTACTCAGGAGGCTGAGGCAGGAGAATGGCATGACCCCAGGAGGCAGAGCTTGCAGTGAGATGAGATCATGCCACTGTGCTCCAGCCTGGGCAACAGAGCGAGACTCTGTCTCAAAAAAAAAAAAAAACAAAAAAAAAAACCTTTTTTCCCAAGCTACCATTGGACTTTTAGCCAACACCTTTTTCCTTTTCTTCAACATCTTCATATTCCTTCAGGATCAGAAATCGAAGCCCCATGACCTCATCAGCTGTAATTCGGCCTTCATTCATGTAGTGATGTTCCTCACTGTGGTGGATGCTTGGCCTCCAGATATGCCTGAATCACTGCACTTAGGGAATGAGTTCAAATTTAAGTCCTTGTCCTACATAAACAGAGTGAGGATGGGCCTATGTATCTGTAACATCTGTCTCCTGAGTATACACCAGGCCAACACCATCAGCCCCAACAACTTCTGTTTGGCAAGGCTTAAACAGAAATTCACAAATAACATTATCATGTCATCTTTTTTTTCTTTTTTTTTTTGGTCCATCAATTTGTCTTTCAGTTATAACATAGTATTCTTTACTGTGGCTTCTTCTAATGTGACCCAGAACAGTCTACCTAAGGGCAGCAATACTGTTCACTTTCTCCCATGAAGTCCTTCATGAGAAAAGTATTTTTTACTCTGACATTATCCAGGGATGTCTTCATTATAGGAATTACACTGCATTCAATTGCACACATGGTGATCCTTGTGTCCAGGCATGAGACGCAATCTCAGCACCTTCACAGCATCAGCATCTCTCCACAAGCCTTCCCAGAGAAAAGGGCTGCTCAGACCATCCCGCTGTTAGTGAGCTACTGTCTGGTCATGTGCTGGGTGGACCTCATCATCTCATCTTCTTCAACCCTGCTGTGGACGTGTAACCCAGTCTTCCTGAGTATGCAGAACCTTGTGGGCGATGTCTATGCCACTGTTGTTCTACTGGAACAAATCAGCTCTGATAAAAATATAGTTGACATTCTCCAAAATATGCAAAGTGCTATAAAGCTTTAACAAGTTGGCGATGGAAAACATTTCTAAAAAATAGTCTTCTCCTATAGTTCAATTGTTCAAGTAGCCCTGGAGTTCTTTTTATCTTATTTAATAAAATGCATGGAATCATACTTTTATTATATTTATATGCTTTCAAAACTGATGCTTCTAAGGACCATGTAATTTCTTTAATTCCAGTGTCTACCATGGGTTGACATTTCTGTATCAAGTTTCTTACATTTTTATTTTCATTTTATCTTGGTAGTAGAAAATGTTTCTCTCAAGGTATACTCTTTTTTTTTTTTTTCGCTCTGTAGCTGAGGCTGGAGGGCAGTGGTGAAATCTCAGCTACTGCAACCTCCACCTCTTGGGTTCAAGCAATTCTCATCCTCAGCTTCCTGAGCAGCTGGGATTACAGGCACGCACCCCCATGCCCAGCTAAATTTTGTATTTTTAGTAGAGACGGGATTTCACCATGTTGGTCAGGCTGGTCTTGAACTCCTGACCTCTTGATCCACCCACCTCAGCCTCCCAAAGTGCTGGGATTACAGACGTGAGCCACCGCACCCTGCCTTGAAGTATACTCTTAACAATCTTCTCTTGGTAATCAAATTTCTCAATGTTTTTACTTTTGAATATATTTTAATTTACTCTTATTTATGAAAGGTACTTTAGCTAAATATCCAATTTTAGCTTTTATACTATGCTTGTTCATTAGAACCTCCCTGACTGGAAATATGTCAATTTGGATTTTACATTTAATTTAGAATTTATTTTAAAGGGTTTTAAATGAAATTTACATGTAATTAGATACTATATGGTTACACAATATTTTCCCACATGTGCTATAATTGACAAATAAAAATTGTATATATTTAAGGTATACAATGTGGTTTATGTATATGTAAATATATACAATAAAATCACTACAATCAAGCTAAATAACATACTCATCACTTCCCATAGTTACTGTTGGTGTAATAAGAATATTTGAGGTCTTCTTTATTAATAAAATTTACCTATACATTAACTGTAGCCTCCATGCTGTACATTAGGTCTCCAGTACTTATTCATCTTATAAAACAGGTTTGTACTATTTGACCAATATCTCATTCCCCCAAGCCACAGCCCTTGGTCACTACCATTCTACTCTCTGTAACTATAATTCAAGCCCTTTTTTAGATTCCACATATAATTGAGATAATGCAGTATTCATCTTTCTGTGTCTGGCTTATTTCATTTAGCATAACGCCCTCAAGATGATCCATGTGGTTGCAAATGTCAAGATTTTTTTCAAGGCCTGAATTGTGTCTCTCTCTCTCTCTCACACACACACACACACACACACGCACATACATACAATACGTATATGTAACATTTCCTTTTTCTTGTTGTTGTTAGATATAACAACAGGCTGGAGTGCAATGGCATGATTATAGCTCACTGTAACCTATAAATTTTGGGTATAAATTATTCTCTCACCTCAGCCTCCAAAGTAGCAAGGACCACAGCAATACACCACCATGCCTAGCTAATTTGTAGGGACATGGTCTTGCTATGTTACCCAGCCTATGGAGTTTCACTCTGTTGCCCAGGCTGGAGTGCAGTGGCACATTGGAGGCTCACTGCCACCTCCACCTCCCAGGTTCAGGCAATTCTCCTGCCTCAGCCTCCCGAGTAGATGGGACTACAGGTGCCTGCTGTCACCCAGCAAATTTTTGTATTTTGAGTAGAGACGGGGTTTCACCATATTGGCCAGGCTGGTCTCAAACTCCTGACCTCGTGATCCACACACCTTGGCCTCCCAAAGTGCTGGGATTACAGGTGTGAGCCACTGCACCCGGCCCCTTATCTATAGTTAATAATGCTTCAATCAACATAGGAGTGAAAATATCTCTTCAAGATAGTGAATTTATATTCTTTGGATATTTACTTAGATGTGAGATTGCTGAATCACATGATAGTTTTATTTTTAATTATTTGATGAACCTCCATGCCATCTTCCATAACGGCTGTACCAATTTACATTCCTGGTGATAGTGTACAAGGTCCCTTTTCTCTATATTCTTGATAACACTTGCTTTCTTTTGAATTTTTGATAAATATCACCTTAATATGTGTTTGAATGCTAACTCACTGTGGTTTTGATTTGCATTTTTCTCAGAATTACTAATGGCTTCTTTAAAAAAAACTAGTTTTTTGGCTACTTTTTAAAAGTATGTGTTACGTTTTGTTGTTATTTTTATTTTGGGGGCTTAAGTTTTATGAGTTTCTTGCAGATTTTGAACATTAATCCTTTATCTGATATTTGGCATACAGGTATTTTTCTCCAATTCTGTAGATAGCGTTTTAATGTCTATGATGGTCTTTTGCTATGCAGTAGAAACTTTTTAGTTTGATGTAGTCCTACTTTTTTTTCTTGTGCTTTTGGTGTCAAATACAAAAAAAACTATTGCTAGGATCAATGCCAAAGAATTTTGCTCAGTGTTGTCTTCTAGAAGATTTATGGTTTCAAGTCCAATGTTTAAGTCTTTAATATATTTTAAGTTAATTTTATGTAGGATGTAAAGGTTGGGTGCAATTTGTTTTTGCATATGGATATCCCATTTTCCCATCACCATTTATTGAAGAGTTTATTCTTTCACCATTATGTGTTTATATGCCTTTGTTGAAAATTTGTTGACCATACACAGATGGATATATTTTATACATATCTAAGCTCTCTATTCTGTTCCATTGGCTTATGTGTTTGTGTTTATGCCAATATTTTGCAGTTTTGATGACCACAGCTTTGCTATATAGCTTGAAATTAGGCAGCATACTGCTTCTAGCTTTGTCCCTCTTGCTCAAAATTGCTTTATTTGAGGTTTTTTGTAATTCCATACAAACTGTGGATTTTAATTTTTGTTGAAAATGCTATTGAAATTCCGATAGAAATTGCTTTAAATATATACACCAATTTCAGTAGTATGAATGTTTTTTTTTCTGGTTTTGTTTTTTTTTGAGATGGAGTCTCACTTTACCACCAGGCTAGAGTGCAGTGGCACAATCTCGGCTCACTGCAACCTCCGCCTCCTGGGCTCAAGCAATTCTCATGCCTCAGCCTCCCGAGTAGCTGGTATTACAGGCATGTGCCACCACACCCAGCTAATTCTTGTACTTTTAGCAGGGACAGGGTTTCACCATTTTGGCCAGGATGGTCTCGATCTCCTGACCTCATGATCCACCCGCCTCGGCCTCCCAAAGTGCTGGGATTACAGGCGTGAGCCACCATGCCTGGCCAGCATGAATGTTTTAATACTAATTTTTCTAATCCATGAACACTAAGTATTTTTAATTTGTCTTTTCTATAATTGCCTCCACTAATATTTTACAGTTTTTGTTGTACAAATCTTTTACCTTCTTTATTATATTTATTTCTAAGTATTAGATTGGTGCAAATGTAACTGTGGTTTTTGCCATTACCAGCCTAATATTTTATTATTTTAGATGTTATAGTATATGTAACTGTCTTCTTGATTTTTCCCAGATATTTGTTGTTGGGGTATAAAAATGCAATTGATTTTTTGTACATTGATATAGTATCCTGCAAACCTACTGACTTTGTTTACTAGTTCTAAAATTTTTTC
Source organism: Homo sapiens (assembly GCF_000001405.40). NCBI lineage: Eukaryota > Metazoa > Chordata > Mammalia > Primates > Hominidae > Homo > Homo sapiens. The sequence goes on along the minus strand of NC_000018.10, from coordinate 14,676,797 downwards.
ATGTAATGATGAGCACACTGGCCTGTGTTTACACATTAATTGATCATTTTTATTAACATATCACAGTGCCTAAAAGTGTGCTCTGTTGTATTTTTGCTGTGACAAATTCTATGGCATCTTTCCCTCCTAATCTTTTTTTAAATGCTTTTGTTTGGTATTTGATAAGAATGTGTCTATGGTTACTTTTCAACTGTGCAACACATTTATCTCCATGCCGAGTCAAACTTTCTAATGAAGTTAATAGTTTTATGTACATTTAGTTATTGTAAATCAAAACAGTAAATTTTTATGATAGTTTTAAAGTTACTAAGATTGAGAATATGTCAATTTTTCACTGCTCATGAATCTGTGGGTTCCTTAAACAATTATACATAAGGTCTATATATATGTGTGTGTGTGTGTGTGTGTGTGTGTGTGTGTGTGTGTGTGTGTGTAATGGCTTAGAATCTTGCCTAACATATTGTATGCACTAAGCAAGTACTAGTAAAATTATTGATCAAGTTATCATCTTCATACCATTCTTCAAATGGCATATTGTTTGTTCTAATTAAAAACTATGTTTCTGTCTTATGTTAAGTAGCAACAAAAATTAGAAGGTCTACTTGTTCTGCCCTCTTGAGAAAATCCAAAGTTAAATGGTAGTTTTACTAATTTCCTTTAGATTCAGTACCTTATTTTCCTCACACAAAAATGTAAACATTAAGGATAACATCATATTTAAATGATTCATCCTACAATAGACAGACTTTGGGTCATTCATTGATTGGGCTGAAGTCTCACTCACTCTCTATTATTTCTAATTTTTTCATGTTAACAGCCTAGAAAATCTACTACACATGGAATGTTATAAATTAGAAATTAACACCTTGGATGTACAAATTATAAAAGTAAACTGAAAAGTATAATATAAAATAAATATTTATATATTATGGATTGTTATTCGAGTAAAGCAAAAGTATTCATTTAAAATATTTTCACAAAGAAAAGTCCAGGGCAAACTAACCTATATAAAACATTCTACCAATATTCAATAAATAATTAATACTAATTCTTCAGCAGAAAATACTTCCAAAAAATGAAGAAGAGGGAATATTTTCCAATTCATTCTAGAGGCCAGTAATACTGTAATACTAAGGCCAGACACAAGTATAAACAGAAGGTGTGTGGGCAAATATGCCATATTCATGTAGACACATACAGCCTCAGAAAACTTTAGCACGCTAAATCCAGGCACATAAAATATGAATATACACCAAGAACAAATGTGATTGTTTTGTAAATGTCATTGTGACTTAGTATCTAAAATTCAATCAATATAATACCCAATATTAGTAAAGAACAAAAAGTGATCCTTTAAATAGATACAGATAAAGTTACAAATATCAAGCATCATTCCTGACAAAACCCCCAGCAAACTACTAATAGAAAAGATTTTGAGACCCACTAAGAGGTATCTATAAAAAACCTACAGCTAACATCCATCATACTTAATGGCGACAGACTTGTGCTTCTTTACCTGAAAGTTTGAGAGACAAGAATTTCCACTTTAACCACTCTATTCAGCATTGTAGTATTAGCCAGGAAAATTCTACAACAGAAAAAAATTGTCCAGATTGTAAAATAAAAGTAGAACCGTCATTATTGCAAATGAAGTAATTTTCTGCAAAAAAAAAAAAAAGATTCACTAAAATATCACTAGAATAAATACACAATTTTATCAGGGGTTTTTAAGAACTGTACAAGGTGGGACTCTAGGTGCATAGGTTCAGTGCATAAACATACATCTTTAGGAGGCTGAGGTGGGTGGATTACCTAAGGTGAGGAGTTCAAGACCAGCCTAGCCAACATGGTGAAACCCGGTCTCTACTAATAAAAAATAGAAAAAAAAAAAAATTAGCCAGGTGAGGTGGTACACACCTGTAATCCCAGCTACTTGGGAGGCTGAGGAGGAGAATCACTTGAACCTGGGAGCCGGAGGTTGCAGTGAGCCGAGATGGTGCCCCTGCACCTAAGCCTGGGCAACAGAGTAAGACTCTGTCTAAAAAAAAAAAAAAAAAAAAAAAGATCTAAAAGCAACTAGGGGTCACCTGTTCAAGTTTGTGCTGGTTGGAGATCTTATCTCCTTCTGATATCTGGTCAGGGGTGGAGAAGCTCTGGTGCTATTGGGCCATCTGGTTTCTTTATGCAGCTGTGTCTACAAATAAAGAAACTAAAGAAACACAGTAAGAAAAAGAACTTTGCCAGTTATTTCATCAGGGTGGCCCTGGTAATATTTTTATTAATTTTTCATTTATTTATTTATTTATTTTTTGAAATGGTGTCTTGCTCTGTCACCCAGGCTGGAGTGCAGTGGCTCCATCTCAACTCACTGCAACCTCCACTTCCCCCCACGTTCAGGCGATTCTCCTGCCTCAGCCTCACACCCAGCTAATTTTTTGTATTTTTAGTAGAGACAAGGTTTTGCCGTGTTGGCCAGGCTGCTCTCAATCTACTGACCTCAAGTGATCCTTCTACCTGGGCCTCCCAAAGTGCTGGGATTACAGTCATGAGCCACTGAGCCTGACCTAATTTTTCTTAAACGTATGTAGAGCGCACATTTATTTCAGTGTTTAATATTGTAAGTGTTTTGGGGCTTTCCAAGTTTGGTGATGTTTTTGTGATCAGAAATATGCCATAGAAACTATTTCTATCAATTAGGCTATGGTAAAATTGGTTTAATTACAAGTCACAGTTTTCAAGAACATATTAAATCCTCACACTAAGTAAGAACTTACTGTATTCAGCAGGCAATGGAGAGTCAGAAAAGCTTAAGCAAAAATGAGCAATTCTTTTACCAGAACATAGGTGATAAGACATAATTGTATGAAACATCAGGTTTATAACAAATTTATTACATTATGTAGATATTATTAGGGCTGTGAAGATAAAGGCCACATAGGCCCATTTATTTGCAAGTCAGCACATAAACATAGAAGGATGATTAACAATATAAGCTTCTAGAGCTTATGCTAAATGTTGGTGGGAACAGACAATCAATTATGGAGAACTTCAGAGGACACTAAGCTTGGATGGGATCTTGGAAGTTTTACAGGTGAATGTCATTCCATCTATTGGCTGGCTTTCACTAGATTAATAAATGAACAACAAAAATAACATACATCAGAAGTTATAATCATTTCATTGAGTATCTGTCACATCTATGCCATTGTAGTGTACTAGGTGACTTATAGCACTTATGAGTCCTCTACTTACAAAATGCTTTTCACAAAATATGAAACTCCAGGCAAAGATTCAGACATATAATGTTTGTTTTAAAATCTCTTTTTTTTTTTTTGAGACAGAGTCTCACTCTGTCACCCAGGCTGGAGTGCAGTGGCACGATCTCGGCTCACTGCAAGCTCTGCCTCTCAGGTTCAAGAGATTCTCCTGCCTCAGCCTCCTGAGTAGCTGGAACTACAGGTGCGTGCCACCACGCCCAGCTAATTTTTGTACTTTTAGTAGAGACAGGGTTTCACTATGTTAGCCAGGATGAGTCTTGATCTCCTGACCTCGTGATCCGCCCACCTCAGCCTCCCAAGATGTTGAAATTACAGGCATGAGCCACTGCACCCGGCCTGTTTTTAAAATCTTTATATAGCTTGGTATCCTTTTTCCTTTCCTTCCTTTTACTCTTTTATGAGTTTTATCTTAGACTAACCTCTGTAATGTTGCTATATGCCAGTATTCAGTTGCTGCGTTTGATGAATCATAAAATGGTGTAAAACTTCAATTAATGTTCTTTTTAAATAAAATATTTATGAATGCATCCAGCAAAATGCTTATGATTTGGGTATTCACAAAGTATTCAAGAATAGAATGTATTCTGACTTGGAATGTGCATAAAATCAGCTGAGTGCAGTGGCCTATGCCTGTAATTCCAGCACTTTGGGAGGCCAAGGTAGGTGGATTGCTTGAGGTCAGGAGTTTGAGACCAGCCTGGCCAACATGGTGAAACCCTGTCTCTAATAAAAATACAAAAGTTAGCCAGGCATGGTGGAGCATGCCTGTAATCCCAGCTACTCTGGAGGCTGAGACAGGATAATCACTTGAACCCAAGAGGCAGAGGTTGCAGTTAGCCGAGATTGTGCCACTGCACTCCAGCCTGGGTGACAGAGATTCCATATCAAAATAATAATAATAATAATAATAATAAGAAGAAGAAGAAGAAGAAGAAGAAGAAGCATTTCCTGTGACTCCCAAGATAAAATAGCATTACAGAATACCGAATAATCCTGAATTTGGTTTTCTTTTGCTTTTTATTTAGTTTTGTTCACCTTGACCAGCGGGCTGGTGGTTCTTAAGTGCACCTGCGTTTTCATTGCTAGGGTCAAGATTTTCAAACTTTAATATGGTAATTTCTCTAATTTTTTTGACAGTTATTTCTCAGGTTGCAAGTTAAAATAAAATTTCCATTTTACTAAAGTCTTTGGTTTATTAATTACTTTATAATGAATTAATATATATTTAATGAGTAATGAGGGGTACTACAAAATTTCAGAACTCAAAACTAAAGAACTTATTCATGGAACCAAACACCACCTTTTTCTGAAACACCTATTAAATAAAAAATATTAAAAAAATTTTTTTTAAATAAAACTAAAAATAAAATGAAAATGAAAAAATATATATCCAGGTTAAAAGAAAAAACTATTTCAGTTAAACAACAAACACTTTTTTGGGGGACTCTACTACAAAATTGTTTGTTATTATAATTACTAAGGCAGACAAAAAATCTAAGTTTTTTAAAATAAAAAACAGTAAGTAAAAAAAAAAGATAATAACAAATATTGGTATATCGGTGAAGGCTAGGCTCAGTGGCTGTTTTCCAAAGTGGTTACACCAGTCGGGTTTGATGGCACACACCTGTAATCCCAGCACTTCGGGAGGCTGAAGCAGGCAGATCACTTGAGCTCAGGAGTTTGACACAGACCTGGGCTACATGTCAAAACGCCATCTCTACCAAAAAAATGTAAAAATCAGCCACACATGATGGCATTCACCTGTAAGTCCCAGCTACTTGGGAGGCTGAGGTGAGAGGATCACTTGTGCCTGGGAGATCACGGCTGCACTGGCCATGTTCACGCCACTGCACTCTAGCCTGGGCAACAGAGCAAGGTTTTGTCTCAAAAAAAAAAAAAGAAGTTAGTGACAACGTGGAAGAATTGGAACCCACATACATTACTGGTGGGAACATAAAATGGTGTAATCAATTTGGGTGTTTCTTTTCTTGTCATTTGATTTTTTAAAAAATCAAGATATTGTCTCCCTATGTTGCCCAGGCTGGTCCTGAACTCCTGGGCTAATGCAATCCTCCAAACTCAGCCTCTCAAATACCTGAGACTAAAGGTGTGAGCCACTGTGCCTGACTGGTGTAACCACTTTGAAAAACAACATGGCCGTTATTCAAAGGCTGAATGTAAACTTACCACATAATGCAACAATTTCACTCCTGGGTGTAAATCCAAGAGAAATAAAAATATATGTTCACACTAAAACTTGCATATGATTGTTCATAGCAGCATTACTCATGATGGCCAATATGCAGAAACAACACAAATGTCCATCAACTGATGAATGGATAAACATAAGCTATTATTCAGCTACAAAAAGAAAAAAATACTGATATACACTATAACATGAAAGAAATTTGAAAACATTGTGCTAAGAGAAAAAAAAGCAAACTACAAAAGATCACATATTGTACAATTCTATTTCCATAAAAGGTCCAGATTAGGCAAAACTACATTGACAGAAAATAAATCAGTGGTCGTCTATGAAGACACAGGAATATGGAGGAAGTAGGAGGTAGCAGTTAATAAGTGAGGGTCTCTCACTCATAAGTGGGTAACTCATAAGTGAGTAATCACTTCTAAAAGTGACTGTGGTGATGGATACACAGCTCTTTGAATATTCTAAAAACCACTGAATTGTATACTTTCTTTTTTTCTTTAGTTATTTAGAGACAAGGTCTCCTTCTGTCACCCACGTTGTAGTGCAGTGGCGCCATCTGGTCTCACTGCAACCTATGCCTTCTGGGCTCAAGTGATCTTCCAGCCTCATGTCCCCGAGTAGTTGAGACTACAGGCATGAGCCACCACACCCAGCTAATTTTTGTATTTTTAAGAGAGATGCTGTTTTGCCTTGCTGCCCAGGCTAGTCTCAAACTCCTGAACTCAAGTGATCCACCTCCCTCAGCCTCCCAAAGTCTCAGCATGATAGGAATTAGCCACTGTGCCCAGCCTGAACTGCATACTTTCACAAATGAATTGTATGATATGTTAATCATATTTCAATAAAATCATTAAAGGGGCCGGGTGCTGTGGCTCATGCCTGTAATTCCAGCACTTTGGGAGGCTGAGGCGGGCAGATCACCTGAGGTCAGGAGTTCGAGACCAGCCTGGCCAACATGGCAAAACCCTGTCTCTATTAAAATACAAAAAATTAGCCAGGCATGGCGGCATGCACTTGTAATCCCAGCTATTCATGACGCTATGACAGGGGAATTGCTTGAACCAGGGAGGTGGAATTTGCAGTGAGCCAAGATCATGCCACTACATTCCAGCCTGGGTGACAGAGCAAGACTCTGTCTCCAAAAGAAAAAAAAAAAAGAAAGAAAATAGGGGTTGAACACAGGTGGCTCCCACCTGCGTATAATCCCAGCACTTTGGGAAGCTGAGGCAGAAAAAACACTTGAGGCCAGGAGTTTGACACCACCCTGGGCAACATAGTAAGATCCCATCTGTACAATAAAAAACAAAGAAGTCAGCTGGGCATAGGGGCAAATGTCTGTAGTCCCAGCTACTTGGGAGGCTGAGGTGGGAGGATTGTTTGAGCCCAGGGGTTTCCAGCTGCAGTGAGCCATGATCGCACCACTGCACTGCAGCCTGGGTGACACAGCAAGACCCTGTCTCTAGGAAGAAAAAAGAAAAAGAAATGCAAGTTTTTATCACCTTCTGAGAGTAATGGACTTTCAGGAGGAATAGAGTAAAACAAAAGACCACTGAATGGTTGAGGGTGGGTTGCTGGTTAGGCTCAGTTCCCAGCTGAGTAGTATCTGAAAAATTAGTAAAATTATGGTTCTGGCATGAGTCATGCAGTCAAATGATGAATGCTAAATCCATTGCAAATGCCCATGGTCTTTCTTTACATGAATTCCAGTGAAAAATTCCTAAGTTCCTAAATAGCAAGTGAGTACCTAGAACTATAGGCACATGTCACCGTACCTGGCTAATTTTTACAAAAACTTTCTGTAGAGATGGGTTTTCACCATGTTGCCCAGGCTGGTCTTAAACTCCTGAACTTAAGCGATTCTCCCGCCTCAGTCTCCCAAAGTGCTGAGATTACAGACATAAGCCACTGTGCCCAGCATGTACATCTCTTTCACTCGCTGTTTCTGGATACATCCTTTACAATGAACCAGTAATAATAAATTGGTGAGACACAGTGGCTCACGTCCATAATCCCAGCACGTTGTGGAAGTTGAGGTGGGAGGATCATGTGAGGTCAGAAATTTGAGACCAGCCTGGGCAACATAACAAGACCCCATCTCTACAAAAAATAAAAGAACATAGCCAGCTATGGTGGTGCAGTCCTATATTAGTCTCAGCTATTTGGGAGGCTGAGGTGGGAGGATCACTTAGGGCCAGGAGTTTGAGGCTACAGTGAGCTTTGATCACACCACTGCATTCCAGCCTGGCAACAGAGTGAGACCCTGAATCTCAGGAAAAAAAAGGAAAATAACCTGTTTTCTGAGTTCTACAAGGTGTTTTAGCAAACACCCAAAAAGGGGGCCATGAGACCCTGGTTCTAACTGATTGGTCAAAAGAACATGTAACAACTCAGGGCTTGCAATTGGCATTTGAAGTGAGGGTAGTCTTGTGGGACTGAGCCCTGACCTGTGCGGTCTGCACTAACTCCAGGAAGTGTCAGAATGGAATCATGGGATACTGGGTTGGTATCCAGATTGTCTGAAAATTGGTGTAGAAACTCTGCACGCACATTTGGTTGGAAGTGTTTGACCATAACTACTATTCAAGAAAAAAAAAAACTACTCATTAGAACTTAAAAACATAAAATTGTATGTTCTACAAAAACAAATCAACCGTATCTACAACCAAGTCCTACTGAACTACTGAATGTTAGAACGGAAGGCCTCACCGTGGACTCAAGAGCTGACATGAGGAACGTCACCACCATCCTGCTCTCATAGGAGTCCTCATCTTCAATGGACAGGGTAGACACTAAAACTTGGGCCATGATCCCTGCACAAGAGAAGTAGTAAGAAAGTGAGTGGTGGGCAGGGTGTGGTGGCTCACACCTGTAATCCTATCAGTTTGGGAGGGTGAGGTGGGTGGATCACAAGGTCAGGAGTTTGAGACCAGCCTGGCCAATATGGTGAAACCCCGTCTCTACTGAAAATACAAAAAAAATTAGCCGGGCGTAGCGGTGCACACCTGGAGTCCCAGCTACTCAGAAGGCTGGGGCAGAAGAATCACTTGAACCCAGGAGGCAGGGGTTGCAGTGAGTGGAGATCGCACCACTGCACTCCAGCCTGGGCAACAGAATGAGACTCCATCTCAAAAACAAACAAACAAAACACACACACACACACACACACACAAAGAAAAGAAAGTAAGTGGTAAAAATCCAGTGCCCTAAACCCATATCCAGAGCTGTGAGAGTTTTTCACTGCCTAATTTACAGTTTTCTTGCATCAGAGAAAAAATAAGGCTCAGAAACTAGGTATTCGATTTGCCCAAAACTCTCATCAGATAGAAAATCCATTCCCTAACTTTCTAGCTAGTATTACTTCCATAAAGTTAGATCAGTATCACTCCGAAAATAAATACACGTCACCCAGTATATTTCTCCCAAATAAAAGAGGAGGCAAGGCGTTTTACAACCCAGTGATGGGCTACCACATCAACACAGGAAAGAGGTGCCAAGCTCCTTTACTCCCGTCCATAACCCTACACAGAAAAGAGTGGGTGCAGTGGAATGAGGCTGGGTGGAGAGAAGTTCCTCTTCTTACTGACAAAATAGATCACAGGGCATCACGTAATATGTAAAAGTCTTTATAATACAGCATATTATTTTCTTTGGAAAACCTTTTCTAATATTTTGGTATCAGTAAAAACCCTCAGATGAATTTCAAACACTATAAAAATACAATACATACACAGAAAATATTAACTGTCAGTAAGCATATAGAGAAATTGGAAACTTTATGCATTGCTGTTTGGAATGTCAGCCCCCTGTGGGAAATGGTTTGGCATTTCCTCAAAATACTAAGCGTAGACTTATCATATGATCCAACAACACCCTTTAAGGGTATATGCCCAAAAAAACTGACAGCAGAGACTCAAACAGGTATTTGTACACCTGTTTAATAGCAGCATTATTCACAGTGGCCAAAAGGTAAAACCAACCCAGCCCATCAGTAGGTGAATGAATAAAGAAAATGTAATATATACATACACAGAATATTATTCAGCCATAAAAAGAAAAAAAATCTGGCCAGGTTTGGTGGCTTACACTTGTAATCCCAGCGCTTTGGGAGGCTAATGTGGGCAGGTCACTTGAGCCCAGAATTTTGAGACCAGGCTGGACAACATGGCAAGACCTCATCTCTACAAATATATATATATATATATATATATATATATATATATATATATATATTTTTTTTTTTTTTTGAAGGAAATTCTTTTAGTGTTATAAATGAGCCTTGATAACATTATGCTAAGGGAAATAAACCAGACACAAAAGGAAAAATATTGTACAAGTCTACTTATATAAGGTATCTAAAATTGGCCGGGCGTGATGGTTCACACCTGTAATCCCAGCACTTTGGGAGGCCAAGGAAGGGAGATCATGAGGTAAGGAGATCAAGACCATCCTGGCTAACACAGTGAAACCCCGTCTCCACTAAAAAATACAAAAAAATTAGCCAGGCGTGGTGGCAGGCACCTGTAGTCCCAGCTACTCGGGAGGCTGAGACAGGAGAATGGCGAGAATCCGGGAGGCGGAGCTTGCAGTGAGCCGAGATCGCGCCATTGCACTACAGCCTGGGTGACAGAGCAAGACTCCATCTCAAAAAAAAAAAAAAAGAATAATGTAATCTATAAAATAGAATAAGCATACAACAGGCCGGGTGCAGTGGCTCACACCTGTAATCCCAACACTTTGGGAGGCCGAGGTAGGCAGATCATGAGGTCAGGAGATCGAGACCATCCTGGCCAACATGGTGAAACCCCGTCTCTACTAAAAATACAAAAATTATCTGAGTGTGGTGGCGTGTGCCTGTAATCCAAGCTACTCAGGAGACTGAGGCAGAATAATCGCTTAACCAAGGAGTCGGAAATTGCAGTGAGCTGAGATCATGCCATTGTTCTCCAGCGTGGTGACAGAGTGAGACTCCGTCTCAAAATAAATAAATACAAAAAATACAGTAAAATATAAAATCTCTTTTTCTCCTATCCTTCTGCTGGTACTTCAATTTCTGCTGGTACTGTTCCATCATTGCCCTCTAAATAATAATGGCTTCATAAAATGAAAATAAACAACATACAATAAACCAGTAAAAATTCACATTGAAAGAGAAAAGAGAAGCTAGGTAACAATGCAAACACTTTTAAGACATAATAAACATATAAAAACTGATCCTTTTAACTCAATCCAAATAACGTTTCTAATTCAGAAAAAAATATAACACATATTTGGAAGCTGGAAAACATTATTTTAAAATATGAATACACAGTAGACTCAAGTAGGTTTAGGGATTTAATATTAGTGTATCTATGTGATAAAATTACTGGATATTGGAATCTGAAGAAGTACAATTATGGTTCAAGTACCATGCTCATCTGTCACTGACACACACACACAAACAAATTAGCATGAATGCTTGCTTTGCTCAGACAATTAACTCTCTAGAAGTTCAGGGTTTGCTGTGGAATGCTCCCTGTTTTCCATTTTCACTATGGTGAAAGCTATGGAAACTCAATCCATGTAATTTAATCCAAGCTGTACATAAAGTAACTTATAAGTAAAAACTGAAGATACTACCTTTAGTGTCAAAAATATTTTAATCCCAGTAATATAATCTGCCTGCTTCTAAAAACTGGGATATAAAACAATAGATTAATCAGGCAGTCACAAGGGAAACAGGCTCATCCTACTGGAGCAGAAGTTTTATTCACAAATAGGAAAGAAAGAATCTAAGGTATCAGAGGGCCGGTTAGGATTAAGACCACAAGCTGCCAACAGGAACAAGATATATTATTTTGTTTTAAGCCATGAAAGTTTAACAGGGCAGTTTGTAATGAAGAAACAAATAATAACAAACGATCTATCAAGCTAGAGAAAGACCCCATGCTCATTTCATTTTGTCTTACTTCACTAGTATTGCAAAGGGAAAGTGAGAAAGAAAAAGACAGAGAAGGAGAGAAAGAGAAAATTGAGAGAAAAAGAGAGACTCTCCAAACAAAATGATTATGTCTCAAAAGAAAATAAAATTTTTCATCTATTTGTCTAACACACACACACACACACAGAGAGAGACACACACAACTCTACTGCTTGGTATCCCACCCTATTTTGTATCCCTGAGGATTTATTTGAGTCCTTGAGAAAGCCCCTTATGAACATTAGAGCTCCTCTTAGGGTTAGTGGGGAACGGGTATAACTGAGCTTTCCCTACAGACTAGAGTAAATGTGCTAAGCCAGAATGTCTTCTTCCTCCTCCTCCTCTTCGTCTTTCTCCTCTCCTCCTCTTCTAAATTTAAATAGTCTATATATGATTTTTATTACTTATGTAATTGAGTTCCTAAATGTGTCCCAGGCTTAGTTTCTTCACACTCTTAAAAACCTATGCTTTTAGAAATCCTTAGGTTCTGGAGTCCCCTAGTCTAGGTTGGATATCTTCGTGTGCTATTTGCTATTTTTATGGCATTTGTCACTTACTAGCTGAATTAGTTCATTTCCTCACTGCTATGAAGAAAAACCAAAAACTGGTAATTTATAAGGAAAATAGATTTAATTGACTCGTAATTCCATCGGCTGTTAAGGAAGCATGATGATGACATCTGCTCAGCTTTTGGGGAGGCCTCAGGAAATTTACAGTCATGGCAGAAGGCGAAGGGGGAACAGCCCTTCACCTGGCTGCAGGAAGAGCAAGAGAGAGAGAGATGGGAAAGGTGCCACAAACTTTTAAACAACCAAATGTCATGAAAACTCAATCACAAGACAGCACCAAAGGAATGGTGCTATAGCATTCACGAGAACTCCACCTCCATAATTTAATCACCTCCCACCAGGCCCCACTTCCAGCACTGGGGATTACAATTCAACATGAGATTTGATGGAGTTAAAGTCCAAACCATATCATTAACCTTTTCTATGAATCAGGTTTTTAAAAAAAATCTGTTAATAATGGCACCTACAATTTGCTGTGAGGATTTGATAAATTAAAATTATTTGTCAATAACAACAATGTCCATGAAAAACTTGATTGAAAGTTAAATAAGAAAATCCTTCTAAAGCTTCCAGTAAGCATCAGTTAATAATTGGTAGTTTCTGTTTCTCTTATTGTTTTTGTTAAAAACAATTATCTTCTACATGTGAGTAATGGTAAAATGGGACAACAATGTGATTTGTTTCAAACAATTTATTTTTATGCTGGTATTTCCTACTTCAGAATAAATGAAAATATAGATTATTGAATCTGACAATAAATCATATTATTTATAAATGAAAGCAGAATGGAAGATTAATTTGGATTCAGCTATTAAGAAGACTGAATAACTGATATGAAATATTCCTACACACTAGTTTTAAAATTATGCTCTACAAGGCAACTTTGAGGGTTTTTTGAAATGACATGTTTATGGTAGACAAACGTATCATATGCTCTTACGAATATTCAATAGGTCAGCAAAAGATCCAACTCTAAATTTTCATGTCACAGTCAGCTTCCTAAGACCACTCTATGCATAACTGTGTTACACAGGTTTCCTGGAACAGACCTTGAAGTGGAGGACTGCAGGCAGAATCTTTGTTGTGGAGTGATCTTGAGATACACACCTGTAAAGAAGTGAGAAATGCAGGATTAGACAGAGGGGGAAGCTGCCAAACAATAAGGTGACAATGGAGGATTCTGCTGATTCTATAAACAGCTCTGGACTTAAAATGAGCCTTCACATTGCTCCAAATTGAGTTGTAAGAGTTCAACTTTGATATCCCCACCATAGGACAACAATGGACCTCAGGATGCATTCACACAATGGGCATACTCTTGACTATGCAGTTTCCTGTGGTTGAGAGCAATTCCTAATTGAGTGATGAAGCTGTAAATGGTTTTCTTCATAAACTGGGAAATGGTTTTCTTGGAGGCCCCGAAGAGGAAAACTGACAGAGTATCACAATAACAGCTACAATATCCCAGATCTAAAACAATTTAAAAATATTTATTAGGGTGATTCATTTCTTTATTTCTTTCAAAACATGTTTACAAAAACATGTTTTGAAAACATTAAATATCTTTGATATAGTTTAGTAGGAAAATACTCAAAATCAAAATTGTAAAAACAATGTTTCTTATACAATTAAACTGCATTTGAAGTAGATGGTAATGTAATACCAATCTTGAAAAGTTTTTCTTTTCTAAAACAAGGTGCCAATGATGTACTACACTGTAATTAACACTGAAATTCTGGGAACTACTTCATCATTTCCAGTCACTATAGTTGCAAAGCTGGGAAGTAAACACTGTACATCAGATGATTGCTTTCCCATGGAATACAACAGGCTGAAGTTCCCTTCATTATACAAATTAATAAAATTCAAACTATATAAAATATATATTAGTCATCGATGATTAATTCACCCATATCTGGGTACCAAAGGTCTGGACTACTTAAACCATGTAGATTCAAAATTCTATATTGGGAAAAATTATAAGGAAAACCCGAAGCTTTCATACAGTGTGAAAATTATTCAGCACATATGGATAATTTTTGATGTTTGAAATAAGCAGAAAGATCTGTAATGGAGATGACTTTATGACTTTGTTTAGGAACAGCATAAAAATAAACATTTTAAAGTGCTGTTATATAAAAATAAAACAACAGTTACTTCTCTATGTTTTGAAAGCTAAAACTAAATAAATGATAGTAGGAGCAGAGGTGCTTTGTTACAAGTTCTTTTCAAGCACTTACAATTAATACCTTTAATGGCAGAGGAAAAAAAATACTGCTTCAACAATATAAAGATATAGCAGTTCACAGCGGCAACCAAGCAAGATGTTACTTTGAAACGCCCTGCTTTAACAGTATACCTGGGGACTTTGCATTCTCCTCTAAACTGGGTTTAATATAAAGCAAATCCCACCACAGCTGTCTTCAAGCTTTCTAGTAAAATGGCCCTCCAGAAAGATGATCTTTGGTGTTAACCCCTGTCAAAATGACAGCTCGCCAAATGGAGAAGTCAAATCCAAGAAAAAAACAATAGAAAGTTTCGTAGAAGTTAGTGAGAAAAATAAAATTTTGAGTGTTAAATGATTCTCACAAATTGAATACCATTTTACTTATTTTCTCCAACAAATCCATTCACCAGTATCATTATAATTTATGACTTTTCTTGTGGTACAATGCTATCCTTTCATAAATGTACTTCAATGAAGTAGGATTACTCCTGTATATTATTACTATGGATGCTACAGTCATGCTTTCTTTGTGCACAAGTTGCCATGAGCTAAAGCCTCATTAAAAAAGGTAGATCTGTTTCTAGGTATGTCTACTCCTATATTTTATCAAGTATGTATGCATGTATGTATCACAATATCTAAATATTAGCAAGTTTATGAGACAGTGATATTGATAACAATATCTTCAGTAGAATTAAGATTTATCTTCTTTGAGATCAGAAAATAAAACCATGTTAGATTTAGCTTAGAACATGCATACCTAAAAAAGATTGCTTAAATTAGCTTATAAGTGAGAACTGTGATAAGTATGTTAAGCAAACAACTTACTGGAAGTTATTTCTTCCATTCTGTATACTCTTAACTACCACATATCATAAAGTCCTAAGAATCTAGTTTGGGAAAGTATAATAGAAGACGGAAGCAATTATTTAGATCATTTAATCTAAAAAAATCCCATCATTGTGCCAATTCTTTGGTATTTCAAGGATAGTAAGATCAATGTTTTCCATGATTATTGTTAGTATTATTTTATCATTAATTTTCATTAATTTATGATTTATTTAATACTTTCTTGACAATATCGGTATATCTTAAAATCCTGCTAAATTTTACACGTGTAAATTCTGGATATTACTAAGCTGACCTAAACTACATATCTCCGAAAAGAAAAACTAAGGTGACAATACAGTTAAAACCAAATTTTAGTTTCAGATTCTAAGGAAATAATGTATAAATTTGAAAAATAGCTATGTTCTTATATAATTATAAAATAAAAATGTTATTTCTATCTAAATTAGACAATGTATTAATCTAGATTAATGAACATGCTCCAAATATTTTGAACCAAATTACTATTTCCCATCTATTACAACATACGATTCCCATCTATTACAACATACGATTTTTACTACTTTGTACATAAGTGTATTATTGAAATGTAACTATTATGTCTCCTTATATTTTCTTTGTAACATTTAAAACATTCTCATTGTTTTAAAAAAATGCATATGCTAATACTTAGGAAAAGGCTTTCTTGTGCCTGAGATTTCTGTAACTGTGAAAAGCATAAGGGAGAATTTCTTTTCCAAAAACATAGACGTTAATGAAGTTGTTTTTTGAGGCCTGTTCTTCGTAACTGTTTTCTAGGTGATGGACTATTATCAACTTGCTCCATAATCCGTTTAGCGTTAAAGAGGACCACAGAAACTGCACCTCCAGGTGTCACAGGTTACAAAACTAATAACTAAAACAAATTAAAAAACTTATCTCAGATTCCCTCCTGGAGTCTACTGCCTTGTTTATACAGCTGGAGGACAAAGTCAGCCACTGCCTGAATTCATATTCTGCACTATGCGATTCAGGAAATAGTGAGTCCAAGCATTTCTTACTCTTAAAATTGTGTTCAATGTTTGCAGTCACTTTCCTATCCCTGATATTATCAGGAAAGGGCCTGCAATTTCCTTTCTACTTCTCTGAGTCAACTGCAAAGTCTCAGATGTTTTCACAGTTGAGACAAGAGAACAAGAAGCACCAATGAAAACCACGGGGTTCTATGGAGGCATCATGGTGTGGTGAGTAGAAGCATGCTACTCTAGCTGTATCTCACTGGGTTCAAATCCTGACTATACGGCATATGGTGCATTAACAGCCCGCTGACCACAAGAATTTCTATGCTGGTAAAATAGGTTTATAATAATGCCAGTCAATCTAAAGATGCTTTAAGTGAAGACTATTTGGTGTTTTTCAAGGACTCAATAATCATTAACTGTGATCACGATCTTTCCCTTACCTACTTTCAATAAGTAAATAATTTACATTTATTAAACAAAAGAAATTTAATCTTGCTTTTCTGAAACAACACAATTCTATTTCAATTTTCTCTACATAGAGGGAGCATCTCACCGCAGATAAAGATGTATGTATATTTTTTCTCCACTCGAAATTATGCTGAGACTCAAAAACAGAAATATCTAGTATGATATCAATTCATATATCAGTTATGTTTAGAGGGAGTTGGGCTAAACATACAGCATTCATTTAAAATGAAGGCCTCCCGTCACACTTTGCTGATGGTATTTAAGTATTGAAAGCCAACTTTTTCTACCTGCTTACTATTATGTCATAGTAGCATGATTTCCCAGACAGCAGAAACTTTGTCTTTTTGTACATAGCTAGGCATTTGATGCTTGTAACAGTGACTTCTCGATAATTATTCATTGCCAGGAAAGATAATTACTTTAAAAATTTATTTAGGAAATTATTTAGCAAATAGTAAATAAACAGTATTAGCTGGTTGCTATTATTTCTGAATATCAGTTTCCCTAAATTTTCTCATCTGAAAAATGGAGATATGTATTTCACAGCAGCATTGTGAGAGACAATAGAGTCAATATAGATAAAATTCTCCAAAGACCAAAACTTTATCTAGCTCATATGTTCTGCATGAGTATTCATTTTTTTAATTACTGTATCTTTTTAACTCATTATGACTAAAATTAAGTATTTTTTTCTCTTTCAAGACCTTATGCTTCTCCTATGTTCCCAATATGCTGGACATCAGGTGTGGGTAATAATAGTACCATGATTTTCCTTTGGAGAAATCAGTCCAAATGACTTTATTCCACCTATAACTCCATAGATGCCATGAAATCCAGACCTCAGTAGAGACAGTGACTTCCATGAACTTAGCTAAAATTTTTGGACAAAGTTTACTCCCTCTGGATTCTAAATGGATAGGGTAATGTTGCTGTCTCATGAAGCACCTTCTGAGCCTACTGAAGCAGGAGCTGATGTTGAGGCAGAACTGAAAGATGCAGAGGCAGAGTCCGGATAACACTGTCTGAACACCTGAAAACACGTTGAACACTGACGAATTTTAATTTTCTGTTTTAGCCCAAGGTCAGTAAGCATCTTCTGTAAAGGGCTAGATTGCAAATATTTTAGGTTTTATGGAACATAAGGTTTGGGTGCAACTATTAAGCTCCAGTGATGGATATGGCTGTGTTGCAGTTAAACTTGATTTACAAAAACAGATGGCAAGACCAATTTAGCTGTGGATCATAGTTTATTGACTCCCGCCTTTTCCTGACAAAGTAGAGTTTCTTTACCTGGCAACCAAAGCAGTTAGTCTTAACTAATACCCCCTGTATCAGGCACTGGATTAACACATTTTTAAGCCAAAAATTTGAAAAATAATCATTTATACCTTTTCTCTGTTCCCTTGCAGCATAAATACAACATCAGAAAGTATGTTTCTCTCAAATGTTTCCTTGGTCTATTTACTCTTTCCATTCCCACCTATAACCTGTTATTTCAAATCACAATCATTTCCTGCTTAACATTCTATAAAAACTTTTTACATATTTGCTCGAGTCTAGGATTCCTTTCAATTCTTTTTCACACGGAAGGTCTTATTGTGATATCCTGCCTTGTTTTAACCTGAATTGACTCTCCCTTAGCTGAGAGAGCCACACAAACTCCAGTTTGGCTCCTTCACTTGCAGCCCCTTGCAGCCTCTTACCCACCCCGCTTTCTCAAGGACTTAACTTGTGCAGGCTGACTCCCAGCACATCAAAGAACACGATTAACTGATAAGACACTGTGGCAAGCTATATCCGCAGTTCCCAGGAATTCGCCCGGTTGATAGGACCCAAAGCCCCCGGGGTTTGTGTCCCGTTGATAGCACCCAAAGCCCCCAGGTCTATCACCTTGTGATGGATTTAAAGCCCCTGCACCTGGAACTGTTTGTTTTCCCGTAACCATTTGTCCTTTTAACTTTTTTGCCTTTTTTACTCAGCTGATTGCTTCAGCTAAGCTCCCTCTCCCCTTTCTAAACCAAAGTATAAAAGAAAATCTAGCCCCTTCTCCGGGGCCAAGAGAATTTTGAGCACTAAGGGTCTCTCGGTTGCCGGCTAATAAAGGACTCCTGAATTCGTCTCATAGTGTGGCAGTTAACTACAACTCGCTCGGTTACAACATTATGATATTTCCACAATACATACATCGGCATGCCGTGGTCATATCCAGGGGACTGTTTATGAACCTTTGACATGGATAATGTCTCCTGTCATAAAGTGCATATTATCTGACTTGTTTATTAAATTGTATCTTTTGTTCCTAGAATATAAATTATGTGAGGATCAGAGCAATTTCTTTTTGTTTACAGCTTTCTTCAATTGTCTATACATGTGGTTGATATAATGTGAATAACCCATATACATTTCTAAAAAGAAGGCCAAATGACTCAGCAGGGAAAGTAAATATAAAAATAATGCATTTTTTTCTGAATCAATACAGACTTAAACCATATAATAAACTTCTGCAATTAGACAACCATTAAGGTCTATAGCACATATTTACTATTCTATGGTAATCTCTTAGATTTATCTTGCGCCAACATACTAAAATTTTAACGGAATAAAAACAGAAAAGAGGTTTTCAAAAAATATTATTTTCATATACCTAATTTTCCAATTGTCTTTCTATTCCTGTTGGCTCTTAAAATTTACTTATTATTCAATGTCCAGTTCAAGTACAGATTCTCATTGTCTTTCTAATTTATTTCCTGCAGGGCTAGTTTGTTATTTTAGACACAGTTTCTGTATCACACATTTTTATAGTTCATATTGTATGTAAATTAAATTGTTGCAGATTCTTCCTATGTGCATGTCTTTGATGCACACGTACAATGAATGTTCCCAAAAAGTATTAATAAAGAACACATTTTAACTTCTTTTTAAATCACCAATTTCAGTACAAAGCAGTGTGCACAGAAGATATTCACTAAATTCTTACTAAATGAGTGAATTTCATAGGAAATTGGAAAATGGATGATCATAAAATTACATCTGGAAGGAAATCATGCCCAGAAAATTTATCTGATGACTGCACACACAATTTTTGCTAACATTATGCTGAAGGAAACAAGTGTATGACAGTAACATGAAACACAACAATGGTTGGTTTACACTTCACATCATTCACTTGGTATTCTGGTGTGGAGAAATAATATTTGATCAAAACTTAATAGCATTTAAAATTGTTTATTTGATCTTTATTCTAACTAGTGATATGGATCACACAAAAGGTGTTTAGGCTCTTTCTTCTATGGCATGAGAATATTTTTAAAAATATATTTAGCTACTCAAAAAGTACAATGATATAAACAGAATATGGAAAACTCAGGAGAAAAAACAGGAATTATAATTAATGACATAATATAAACCAAAAATGAAGTGCCAATCTCAAATCATTTTTTAAAATGTGTGGTCTGAAATATTCAAAACTGACTCTAGAAGAAATCAATACTAAAATATTTGTCATACAAATAATTAATGAGAAGGTTATCAAAGAACTTCATCAAAGAATTCCTCTAATAAAGTCCCTGGGCCCAGAATTCATAGTTCAGAAAGGAAAAGAAAGAATGCATAATTTCCTTAGTATATAAATTGATTCAAAACAAAAACACAAAAAAACTAGAAATTACTCATACAAAGCTAGTATAAACTCAAAAATAAGTGTACCTGAGTATGCTTATGCACACATATGAGGGCATATGTGTGCATGTGTGTGTGCACACCTCACATGTGTATGCACTACACACACAAGATGAATTCTATTTAAAAACATAAATGCAGTATATCTAGTAACAGAAAATAGCAGAAATCAAATCAACAAGTAATTATCTCAGGGATGTAGGATTTTCACTATTATATACATATCATAGATGTATGTGATCTGTGATCATTTGACTGGGGGCACAAAAACAAATGCTTAAATATTTCAGCATAATACAGCATTTACATCTGTGTGGTATAAATAATATTGAATAATAACATTGCTTTGAAAGACCAAATTTGGCCGGGCGCAGTGGCTCACACCTGTAATCCCAGCACTTTGGGAGGCCGAGATGGGTGGATCATGAGGTCAGGAGTTACCTGGCTAACACCGTGAAACCCCATCTCTACTAAAAATACAAAAAATTAGCCAGGCATGTGGCGGGCACCTGTAGTCCCAGCTGCTCAGGAGGCTGAGGCAAGAGAATGGCGTGAACCCGGGGGGTGGAGCTTGCAGTGAGCCGAGATCGCGCCACTGCACCCTAGCCTGGGTGACAGAGCAAGACTCTGTCTCAAAAAAAAAAAAAAAAAAAAAGAAGAAGAAAATCCAAATTTAACAAAATCTGAGCTATAGTACATATATTTAGTCTTCCTCTTTCATTATTTAATTTTGCTATTCCATCATTATTGTCTGGTTTGAATTAACATAATTATCATGTTTAGATAAATATCGTATTTTTATAAGTATAGGCAGGGATCCTTAAATTGGTAAAACATTTTACTCTTTTTAAATGTTTCTTTGTAATTCCCACTTCCACCCATCTAGTCTTCCATATAAACTTTAGAAAGAAATTATTAAGTTTCAAAAAGTATCCTAGATGGAACAGACTGATATTACTGTGAATTAATAGTAAAGGCCAGGCATGGAGGCTCATGCCTATGATCCCAGCAATTTGGGAGGCTGAGGCAGGTGGGTCACTTGAGGTCAGAAGTTTGAAACAATCCTGGCCAAATGGTGGAACACTGTCTCTACTAAAAATACAAAAATTAGCTGGGTGTGGTGGCACGTGCCTGTAGTCTTAGCTACTCAGGAGGATGAGGCAGGAGAATCGCTTGAACCCGGGAGGCGGAGGTTGCAGTGAGCTGAGATGGTGCCACTGCAGGCTAGCCTGGCGATAACAGCGAGACCCTGTCTCAAAAAAAAAAAAAAAAAAAAAAAAAAAAGAGAGAGAGACTGGAAAAAATTGAGGTCTTTAAATATTGACTTATGCCACGCATTAAAAGCAATTCTCTAATTTTTTTCTTTTACATAGTTCAGTAAATTTTAATAGATTATATTCCATATTCCAATGTATTTATTGTTAATTTATTCCTAGGCAATTTGCATGTAGACATAAATTTCCTCTGTAAAATGAATTTCTTATATAATTTTCATTTTTCTTTTGATAATGTATAAGAAAGATGTTATTTGTTTTATGCTGACCTTACAATTAACCATGTTCTATACAATCTTATTAGTTCTTTTTTTTTTTTTTTTTTTTTTTTTTTTGAGGCAGAGCCTGGCTCTGTCGCCCCGGCTAGAGTGCAGTGGCGCAGTCTCAGCTCACTGCAACCTCTGCCTCCCAGGTCCAAGCAGTTCTCTGCCTCAGCATCCAGAGTAGCTGGGATTACAAGCACCCACCATCATGCCTGGCTAATTTTTGTTTTTTTAGTAAAGACGAGGTTTCACCATCTTGGCCAGGCTAGTCTTGAACTCATGACCTCATGACCCACCAGCCTCGGCCTCCCAAAGTGCTGGGATTACAGGTTTGAGCCACCATGCCTGGCCTAGTTATTTTTATCTTAACCATATCATTATGACTTCTGCAATACATAAGAATCTAGATTCTGCTTGATATTCACTCTTTCATGTATTTTCCAGTTTTATTCCTCTTATTTTATTGAAAATCATCTCAATTTTTGCATTTAAAATTAATTATAACAGGCATCCTAGTTTCCAAAATAAAAGATATCTTTCTAATGTTTTGCTTTAAACATAATATACAATATATTTCTCATACATGTGCTCTATCCAAACAAGAACTTTCAATCTTACGGTTTCTAAGAATTATTATTAAAATTTGGAGTAAATATTTATTTTTTGGTGTATTTTTCTAAAACTGTAGAGATAACTGTATAATCCTCCTTCCTTAATCTTTTAATATGACATGTTTACATAAGTTTTTTAAAGCTGTATTATCCTTGAGTTCCTGATGTAAGTGTTTTTTAATAGAGTAAAAGCCTTACTTAATTTAAAATTTTCATTTTGGCATAATTGCCGACTTACAGAAAAGTTGACTTAATAATACCAATAATTACCATGTATCAAAAGTCCCCAACTGTAACATTGTACTATAATTGTTTATCATTGTCTTTTTCCTGAAAAGATGCAGACATTATGTTCCTTCAAGGCATTCTCTTAGTTGTACTTGAATCAAAGAAAAAATTCACAGGGAAGTTGGAAAACCTTTCATACTGAAAAATAATGATACTACTATATATCACAATTTGTGGGATGCAAACATAGCAGTATTAAAAATATTTATAGTCTTGTGTATTGATCCTAAAAAAGATAATGCA
The DNA here is from genome assembly GCF_000001405.40 of Homo sapiens. Taxonomy (NCBI): domain Eukaryota; kingdom Metazoa; phylum Chordata; class Mammalia; order Primates; family Hominidae; genus Homo; species Homo sapiens. The sequence goes on along the minus strand of NC_000018.10, from coordinate 14,653,880 downwards.
AAATCAATTTTCTAAACATCCACGATAAGCTACAAAAACAGATTACATTAAAACTAAAGGAGGAAGAACGGCAACAGCAAATATAAAAGTAGAAATTAAGGACAGAGAAAAATACAAGGAAAAATTTGTTCTGCGAAAGACTGATATATTTATTTGACATATGGTAAGTCTAATAACAAAACACACACACACCCCAATATAAGGAATTTTTAAAACATTAGTTACAGAATGTACAGAGGTTTATGGTTTATTTCCCAGATAGCTTGTGTTTTTCTAAGTATCTGATTTTTACTTATTTTTAACTTAATATGCTTGTGATCAGAGAATGTACTTTCTATGACACAAAAAGTTCAAATATATTGAGACAACGTATAACTCATCATATATTCTATCTTGTTAAATGTTTGGTAATATTTACCAATGGAAAAATATATATATATATAGTTAATTGGTTATAAATGTCAAATATTTATTTCTGTTTTATTTTTTAACTTTTCTTTTTTCATACTGATATTCATTTGATCAAGTGGTGATGGAAAGGTGTTAAATTGTCTTTATTTTAATAGTTTTTAGGGGAAGAGGTGGTTTTTGGTTACATTATAAGTTATTTAGCAATTGTTTCTGAGATTTTGATGCACCCATCACCCAAGCAGTGTACACTGTACAGAATGTGTGGTCTCCTTCACCCTCCTACCACACTTCCTTTCAAGTCCCCAAAGTCCATTATATCATTCTTAGGATTTTGTGTCCTCAAAGCTTAGCTCCCATTTATAACTAAGAACATGCAATGTTTGATTTTCCACTCCCGCGTTACTTCACTTAGAATAATAACCTCCAAGTCCATTCAGGTTGCTGCAAACGCCATTATTTCACGTTTTTTTCTTTTCTTTTCTTTTCTTTTCTTTTTTGGAGCCAAAGTTTCACTCTTGTTGCCCAGGCTGGAGCACAATGGCACAATCTTGGCTCACTGCAACCTCTGCCTCCCAGGTTCAAGCAATTCTCCTGCCTCAGCCTCCCAAGTAGCTGGTCTTACACGTGTCTTCCACCACACCCAGCTAATTTTTGTATATTTAGTAGAGATGGGGTTTCACCATGTTGACCGGGCTGGTCTTGAACTCCTGACCTTAGATGATCTGCCTGCTTCGGTCTCCCAAAGTGCTGGGATTACAGGCATAAGCTACCGTGCCCGGCCTATTATTTTATTTCTTTTTATGGCTGGGTAGTATTCCATGCCACATTTTATCTATTCATTGGTTGATGGGTATTTAGACTGGTTCCATATTTTTACAATTGCAAACTGTGCTGCTATAAACATGCATGTGCATGTCTTCTTCATATAATGAAATATTTTCCTCTAGGTAGATACCCAGTAATGGGATTGCTGAATCAAATGGAGGTTCTACTTTTAGTTCTCTAAGCAATCTCCATACTGTTTTCCACAGTGGTTATACTAGTTTACATTCCCACCATTAATGCAAAAGTGTTCCCTTTTCACCACATCCATGTCAGTATCTATTATATTTTGAAAGTATGGCCATTCTTGCAAGAATAAGGTGATATCTCAGTGTGTTTTTACTTTGCATTTCCCTGATAATTAGTGATGCTGAGCATTTTTTTCATATATTTGTTGGCTATTTGTATATCTTCTTTAAGAATTTTCTATTCATGTCCTTAGCCCACTTTTTGATGGACTTTTTTTTTTTGTCTTGCTGATTTGTTTGAGTTCCTTGTGGATTCTGGATATGAGTTTTTGTTGGATGTATAGATTGCAAAGTTTTTCTCCTACTCTATGTGTTGTCTGTTTGCTGATTATTTCCTTTTGCTGTGCAGAAGCTTTTTAGTCTAATTATGTTCAATCTATTTATCTTTGTTTTTGTTGTGTTTGATTTTGGTTTCTTGGTCATGAAGAACCAAGCCGATGTTTTTAATGTTTTTTCCAATCTTATCTTGTAGAATTTTTATGGTTTATGATATTAAAGTCTTTGATCCATCTTGAGTTGATTTTTGTATAAGATGAGAGATGAGAATTCAGTTTCATTCTTCTTCATGTGGCTTTCCAAATATTCCATTCCCATTTGTTGAATAGGGTGTCTTTTCCAAACTTTATGTTTTTATTTGCTTTGATGAAGATCAGTTGGCTGCTAAGTGTTTGGTTTCATTTCTGGGTTCTCTATTCTGTTTCATTGGTCTATGTACCTATTTTTATACCAGTACCATGTTGTTTCAGTAAGGATAGCCTTGTAATATAGTTTGAAGTTGGGTAATGTGATACATCCAAATTTATTATTTTTGTTTGGTCTTGCTTTGGCTAGGCAGGCTCTTGTTTTGGTTCTATATGAATTTTAGGATTGTTTTTTCTAGTTTTGTGAAGAATGATGATGGTATTTTGATGAGAATTGCATTGAATCTGTATATTGCTTTGGAGAGTATGGTCATTTTCACAATACTGATTCTACCCATCCATTAGCATGAGATGTGTTATCTATTTGTTTCTGTGGTCAATGATATCTTTCAGCAGTGTTTTGCCATTTTCCTTGAAGAGATCTTTCACCTCCTTGGCTTTGGATGCTCCTAAGAGATACATATGTATATAATATGTATATATGTATAATACATATACATACATACAGATGTATAACACATATACATATGTATATAATATGTATATTATATACATATTATATACATATGTATAAGTATTAAATATGTATATCATAATACATATACATATGTATATATGTATATCATAATACATATACATATGTATATATGTATATCATAATGCATATACATATGTATATATGTATATCATAATGCATATACATATGTATATCATAATGCATATACATATGTATATCATAATACATATACATATGTATATCATAATACATATACATATGTATATATGTATATCATAATACATATACATATGTATATATGTATATCATAATACATATACATATGTATATATGTATATCATAATGCATATACATATGTATATATGTATATCATAATGCATATACATATGTATATATGTATATCATAATGCATATACATATGTATATATGTATATCATAATGCATATACATATGTATATCATAATGCATATACATATGTATATCATAATGCATATACATATGTATATCATAATGCATATACATATGTATATCATAATACATATACATATGTATATCATAATACATATACATATGTATATTATAATACATATACATATGTATATAACATGTATATAATACATATACACATATGTATATAACATGTATATTATAATACATATACATATGTATATATGTATAATACATATACACATGTATATAATATGTATAATACATATACACATGTATATAATATGTATATTATATACATATACATATGTATATAATATGTATGTTATATTACATATACATATGTATATATGTATGTTATAATACATATACACGTGTATATGTATGTTATACTACATATACATATCCATATATGTATGCTATAATACATATACATATCCATATAATATGTATATTATATGCATATACATATCCATATATGTATATTATATGCATATCCATATGTATATAATATGTATATTATATGCATATCCATATGTATATAATATGTATATTATATGCATATCCATATGTATATACATATATTTATGTGTGTGTTTATATACATATATATGTATATTGCAGTTGTTGTAAAAGGGATTAAGTTCTTGATTTCTCAGCTTGATTGTTGTTGGTGTATAGCAGTGCTAATGATTTGTGTATATTGATGTTTTGTGTCCTGAAACTTAAGTGAATTTATCAGATCTAGGAGCTCTTTAGATGAGTCTTTAGAGTTATCTAGATACACAATTATATCATTGGAAATCAGTGACGGTTTGACCTCCTCTTTACTGACTTGGATGCCCTTTCTTTCTTTCATCTGATTGCTCTGGCTAGGACTTCCAGAACTATGGTTAATAGATGTGGTGAGTGGGCATCATATTCTCAGGGGGAATGCTTTTCAACTTTTCCCTGTTCAGTCTGATGTTGGCTGTGGGTTTGTTATAGATGGCTTGTATCATATGCCCCTTCTATGCCAATTTTGCTGAAGATTTTAACCATAAAGGGATTCTGAATTTTGCCAAATGCTTTTTCTGTGTCTATTGAGATGATCGTATAATTTTTGTTTTTAATTATGTTTACGTGATGTATCACATTTATGACTTGTATATGTTAACCCTTCCCTGCATACCTGGTATAAACCCCACTTGAAATCTTTAGATTAGGAATTTGGCTGTTCATTTTTAGCTATGTAAAATTTTACTTTATATAATTTGAAGTTATATTATTAAGAGCATATGCATTTCAAATTGTTTTGTCTTTTAAATGAATCAATTATTTTATCATTATAAAATGTTTCTCTTTCACTTGACAAATGGGATCTAATCAAATTAAAGAGCTTCTGCACAGCAAAAAGAAAAAAATAAACGAACATGAGAACTAACAGACACCTACAGAATGGGATAAAATTTTGGCAAAATATGCATCTGACAAAAGTCTAACATCCAGCATCTACAAGGAACTTAATCAAATTTACAAGAAAAAAACAAGGCCATTAAAAAGCAGGCAAAGGACGTGAACAGACACTTCTCAAAAGATGACATACATGTGGTCAACAAGCATATTAAAAAAGTTCAACATCGCTGATCATTAGAGAAATGCAAATCAAAACCACAATAAGATACCAACTCATGCCAGTAAGAAGGACCATTACTAAAAAGTTAAAAAGCAGATGCTGGTGAGATTGTGGGGAAAAGGGAACACTTTACATGGTTGGTGGGAGTGTAAATTAGTTCAACCATTGTGGAAGACAGTGTGGTAATTCCTCAAAGACCTAAGGACAGAATTACCATTCGACACAGCAATCCCATTAATGTGTATATGCCTAAAGGATTATAAATTGTTCCATTGCAAAAAGACATGCATGCATATGTTCCTTGCAGCACTATTCACAATAGCAAATACATGGAATTAATCCAAATGCCCATCAATGACAGACTGGATAAAGAAAATGTGGTACATATACACCATGGAATACCATGCAGCCACAAAAAAAAATGAGATAATGTCCTTTGCAGGGACATGGATGCAGTTGGAGGTCATTATTCTAAGCAAACTAAAGCAGGAACAGAAAACCAAATACTGCATGTTCTCACTTTTAAGTGGAAGCTAAATGATGAGAACATGGACACATAGAGAGGAACAACACACACTGGGGCCTATCAGAGAGTGGAGGGTTGGGGGAGGGAGAGAAGCTGGAAACATAACTAACAGATACTAGGCTTAATACCTGCGTGATGCAATAATCTGTACAATCAGCCCCCATAATGCACGTTTACTTATGTAACAAACCTGTGTATCTTACACATGTACCCCAGTCAAAAAATAGAAGTTTAAAACAGAACAAAATGAGTTAAATTATTGGAAAATTATTTCAAATCAAATTACATATAGCAACGTGTTAAGATCTGCTCACTGTAAAGAGCTCTTTTACTCATCTGACAAGCATTTAGTGTAAGCGTTCTATTCGCTAGGCCATAGGAACTAGAGGCTGGAAAAACAATGGTGAAGAAAATGCCCATGCCATTAAGAAATTTGTGTGTGTGTGTGTGTGTGTGTATATATATATATATATATATATATATATATATATATATATATATATGTATTTATTAGAACAAATTAAGACATTATTGAACAATGGTGCAAACAGCAATTAACAATAACAAAAGGCTAAAATACAAAATTATTAAAATAATAATAACCCAACAATTTTTAAATTGGGAGTCAATATAAAAAGATATTGAAGAGATCCAAATGTCAAAATGTGTGTGTGTGTTGGGGGGGATACAGGTAATAAATGTTTATAGCTTTTTGTTTCTCTCCTTTTTGTTCTTTGCAATCAAAGTTAAGTTTTCCTCAGTTTAAAACCACTGGTTACAATGATATTCTTTAGCCTCATGGTAACTAGAAAACAAAATTCAGTAACAGACACCCTAAAAATAATAGACACCTAAAAAGCAAACAATTAAATCACACTCCCAGAGAAAATTACCTCACTATAAATACAGACAGGAAGAAAGGGAAGGAGGGAGGAAAGGAAAGGAAGAAAGAAGGAAGGAGAGAGAGAACAGAAAGAGGAAGAAATGAGGAGAGAAATAACAAAAGAAAAAAGAGAGTAGCAAAACGACCAGAAAACAAGTAAAAGTGGCAGTAGTATGTTTTTACTTGTTAGTAATAACCTTGAATATAAATGAATTAAATTCTCCATTAAGACAGAGTGGCTGAATGGATTTAAAGACAAGATCCAACTATATACTGCCTACAAGAAACTAACTCAGTTCACCTATAAAGACATATAGACTGAAAATGAAGGGATGGTAAAAGATATCCCATACAAATGGAAACAAAAAAGCAAGAGTAGCTATACTTATATTAGATAAAATACAAAGATAATTATATAATGAGAAAGAAATCAATACAGCAGTATCACAATTATAAGTGCAAATGCAACCAACACTGAAGCACCTAAACACAGAAGCAAATATTAACAGACCTTAAAGGACAGATGGACTGCAATACAATAATAGAGTACCTCAACACTCAACTATAATCAACACCCCACTATCATCAATGAACAGATCACCCAAACGACAAAAAATCATCAGTTAAACTGTAATCTCTACTGAATGGACCTAACATTTACACAGCTTTCCACTCTGCAACTGCACAATGCACATTCTACTGAGTAGCACATGGATTATTCTCCAGGACAGACTATGTGTTAGGCCAAATAACAAGTCACAGCCCATTTTTAAACATTGAATTCATATCAAGCATCTTTTCTGATCACAGTGGAATAGTATGAGAAATCAGTAACAGGAGGAACTTTAAAAACTGTACAAACATATGGAAATTAAAATACATGTTCATGAACAATGAATAAAGAAATAAAAAAATTAAAAATTTATTGAAATAAATAAAAATAGAAACACAACATAACAAAACCTGTGGGATGCAGCAAAAGCAGTTGTAAGAGGAAAAGTGCACAGCTATAAATGCCTACATCAGAAAAGTAAAAAGATCTCAAATAGCCAACCTAACAGTACACCTCAAGTAATGAGAAAAACAAAAATATCAAATGTTAAAATTAGTAGAAAGAATATCAGAAAGATTAGAACAGAAATTTTACAAATAGAAACAAAAAATATAAAATGCAAAAAAATACAAAGAGCCAATGGAACAAAGAGCTGGGGGGGTTTGAAAAAAAAATCAAAATTGACAAGCTTTAACTAGACTAAGGGAAAGAGAAAGAAAGCCAAAATAAAATCATAGATAAGGCTAGGCATGGTGGCTCACACCTGGCACCCTAGTACTTTGGGAGGCCGAGGCTGTTTGGATCACTCGAGGTCAGGAGTTTGAAACGAGCCTGGCCAACATGGTGAACTCTCTCTACTAAAAACACAAAAAATTACCTGGGTGTAGTGGGAGGTACCTGTAATCCAGCTACTGAGGAGGCTGAGGGAAGAGAATGGCTTGAACCCGGGAGGTGGAGGTTGCAGTGAGTCAAGATCATGCCACCGCACTCCAACCTGGATGACAGAGGGAGACTCTCTTTGACATGCTTGAACTTTATGACTTGTCCTATCTTTCCCTATTTCCTAATTAGTCATTCTACTTTAGGACAAGAATTTGCCATACCAGCTCCTCTCTCATGTAACATTTCTTCATAACATTTCTAACCATAAACTCATCTTCATATCCACAATTTTCTTTGTATCTCTCCTCCCTACTAATTTCTTATGCCCACCCAAATCAAACAAGATCAGGTAATGCAAGGCAAAACAATAGAGCCTTAGATTTTGAGAGGGACCTGTCTGCCTACAGTTCTTGGGATTCCATGAGGAAAAGAGAGGTTTCTCCTAAAAGGGGGTCTGTGGCACCTTCTGTTTTTCCCATGGATTCTCAGGCTGTCAGAAATTATCTCAGGTCCTCTCATGTGGGCATCGAGAGTGGCAACAAGACAGACTAGGAAAGTAATTCAGACAACTAAGAAGGAAAAGAAAAACTTAGTACTACTTTCATTGTAAAGACAGATAAACTGAGGCACCATGCAGTTTAAAATTTTATGTTCACATAGTGTTAGACTGCACAGCTCTCTCTTTTAACCATCCTGTAATTCTGCTAACTCTATGTCCGTCACTGATTCACTTGTATGGTAGCTCGTGGGCCCCTTAGAGCTTGGAACCTGGGTTTCATTTCCTGCTCTACAGCTATATAATTTAACAATTTTCCTCTGGATTTCTTGGATTCTAACGCTATATATCCCAAATTTTATTAATATTACTGAATATTAACGGAGGCTGTGATATCTTTAGTCTGTAGAAATATTAAACAACCTACGAAGGACTATATGAGGTTAAATAGTATTAATATTTCTATATGCTTTAAAACATTGAGGCAATATATTGAGAAACACACCTAAGAAACAGCAACCAATCCATTCTGGACCAAAATTTAGACACTATCTCTTCAATATAAGCTATCTAGTGGCATTTTTACATATCCTTACACATATCAACAGTATTTTACATGCTCATAACCTTAAAAATAAAAAGCGTCAAAATTATAGACCTTACGCATTTCTGTGGGCTTGAAAAATGATGCAATATAGATTGTTTCTTTAAAGTAGTCAATAAAATGCATAAACTTCTAGAGTACTCACTAAAAAAAAGATTTCATACCAAAGGTAATAATAACAGAAATAAAAAAGGGCTCAACACTGCAGGTTCTTGAAGGCAAAAGTTAATAAAGACTTTGTTTTGGTTGTGAATCTTGGCCTTAAAACATTATACACATGATCCTCCCTTCCTTTTCCTGTTGCAAAGATGTGATGAACCAGATTTGCTCATGCAGATGACAATACTCTTGAAAATGGTGGCAGAGAAATAAAATGAAAGGAATACAGTTCACTTAATGATCTCATAAATTGGAACTAATTACCCCCCTGACTCTTGCATAGCTCCAGACTATGTGAGAGAGATGAAATGGCTGTTTGCTAGCAATATTTTATTTGATGCTTCATTTTTGATTCCTTGAATAACTACTTACAACACATTAACAGGATCATGAAAAGCATAGCTATTCAAGTAACCAAATAATTATGCAATCAATGTTTTTCCTCATCTCTAAAGCATAGTAATGGACTGATTATTTTAAGAATACAACTCGGTGACAAATAGTTTATGTTTAACTCAGTTTTGGTTTGTTGTTTGTTAAGGCCATTGCTTAGGATAATGAAAACAAGAGGAGGAGAAACAAGAATATAAAAAAGAAATAGAAGCAGCAGCATAAGAAAATGAAGAGGAACAAGAAGATGATGATTAGAAGAAGAAAAAACAGACTGAAAGAAAGGAAGAAGAACAGGTGTGGGAATTAGAAAGCCTATTATGATACCTTATTTCCCCTCCTGATTTATGAACTTTGAAAAAATTTCAAGACTTTTCACAACAAAACCAAGCTAAAAGATACACCAATAGTCACCCCCTAAATTTTGTTAAGAATAAGACAATGTTGCCACTCACACCTGGCCCAGGCACCAGCAGGAGGAGGGCACCTCCAGATTCTGCAAGAGAAGGAGGAGGACTCCTCCTTGCCTTGGCTGGGCCTCCACTGCTGCCACCTCGGCCCGTGGTACAGCACCTGCAGCTGCCTCCCCACTTCAGGCCAGGCTGGGCCCGGTGGGCTCCACAGCATTCCCACTCCCACTTCTCGGATCCCAGACTTGCTGCTGCTGCCACCACTAACACCAACACCAACATGACCACTGCTGCTGTTGCCCTCAATGCATGGGCCCACCCTACAAGCCTCCTACCACCTGGCCCCTGCAGACACTCTCCTACCACTCCACCACTCCGGTCAAGCTGCAGTCTCTGTCTCTGCCACCAACTGCAGCGAGGGGAGCCACAGAACCATGCCATCTGCAGGCTCCAGCCTCCAGCGTGCAACAGATGACTCCTCCAGCTCCTGGCTCGAAGCATCTGGGTGGTAAAAGCCAGATGTGCCTAGAACAGGATGGAAGGAGTGGTAGTGTTAGAGGCTCACCTTGTCATGCTGGTCACTGGGTGGCAGGGGCTGGTTTCGGCAAAGGCACAACTGGGACCTGGGGTGGGTGTGACTGCCTTTGCTGAAACTGGCCTCTGGCTAGGTCCAGCTGGCCAGGAACTGCTGGGCCCACCCTGGCTGCACTCCTTGGTGAGCAGGAGAAGCAGAAACTCAGACCCAGCCAGCTCTCTCCAACCAAGTGCCAGTTCCTGTTTCTGATGCCTCCACCCACAGGGCCCTGTTCCCCCGTGATGCCCGCTACTCCGTGCCCAGGAGTCCCAGATTGTCTCTGCAACACAGTGAGAGGGTGCAGGCCCGGGAACCATGGCGGGTGTGGGGGCCTTACCGTGCTCAGGATTCCCAAGGAAACATTGTGCACCTGCCACGCTCCAGCACGAGCAAACAGAGGTTGCCCTCTAGAATCTAGAGTCTGGGAAGAGGAGGACGGCCCCTTCCTTGGAGGCCACAGCTATCGCTGCCACCTCCGTAGCCCATTGCCAGAAGCAGCAGTGCAGTGCAAACCCCAATAGTGCCCCCCCACTGGCATGCCACAGGGCATGTAAACCTGATAGTGCCCCCAAACTGCCCCACTGCCTCCAGCAGTGCAGCCAGGGATAGTGCCCCCAACCAGCCCTTGCTGGGGGTAGTGACAGCCCAGATAGTGCCCCCAACCTGCCCCCCCTGTCATGACAGTGCAGGAGCTGATAGCACCCCTAACCCTCCCCCCAGCTGGCGGTCAGCCCCCTGTAGCACACACAACCACCCTCACCACCAGGCAGTATAGCCCCCACCAACTCTGCCAACCCATGCCCCTGATACCCTTACCGGCAATGTGACCTTGATAGTGCTCCTATCCAGGGTAGTGCATCCCTGGATAGCTCACCTACCCTGCCACCTTTCTACCATGCTGGCCAAGCTGCAACCTCCGTCACCTCCACCAACCGCAGTGAGGCGAGCCTAGATGCCACAGGCTCAAGCCTCCAGCTCGGGGTACGTGGCTCCCACTTCCTGTTCTCTAAGCTGAGCTCCCAGCTTCGATTCTGATTGTATGAGAGCAAGTCTTAGGACAACCAATCACAGCATGAAAATAAAGTCCAATCAGAATAGGCCTAGAAGTTTTCTCTCATCCAATCAGAATATGTAGTCCAGGAACCTCATTTGCATAACCTCACATATAAAGGATGCAGAAAGGGCGTCAGGCCATTCCAGACTCGTGTGTGGCTGCTTGCGCAGCTGCTCCGTGCCAGGCTTGGAGGACCAGGAGAAGGGGTAGTCACTTGCCACAGCTGGAGGCTGGAGCGTGTGGCACCACGGCTCGCCTCGCTGTGGTGGGTGCTGGCGACAGAGACGGCAGCTCGGCTGGACTGGTAGGAGGGGGTAAATAGTTTTTGGGTAGATGGAGGGATAAAGAGGGTGGTTAGCGGCAAGGGGAAAAGAGGATGGCAAACAGGAGAAGGCATTGCAAAAAGATGGTGGGGAAAAGATGGTTAAAAAAAGTTTTTGGGTAGCAGGCGGGTAAAAAAGGGTGGCATGTAGAAGGAGGAAAGAGAGGGTGGTGAGGGGGGGAAAACGGGGACAAGTAGGAAGGAGAGAAGGTTTACAAAAAGACGGTGGGGAGAAACACGGTGAAGACAACAGAAAGACATTGGGGAAAGAAAAGATGTGTAAAAAGATTTTGGGTAGATGGAGGTGGAAAAGGGTGGCACGCGGGAGGAAGAAAGAGGGTGCAGAGAGTGGGGGGAAGAGAGAGAAGGTGGTGAGCAGAAGGGAGAGAAGATTTTGTGAAAAGTCGATGGGGACAAGATGGTGGGGAAATATTTTTTTTCAGTAGATGGAGAAAAAAAGGGTGGTGAGCAGGAGAAGAAAAAAGGGTGCCGAGTAGGAGGAAGGAGAAGGTTTTGCAAAAAGACGGTGGGAAGAAAAGACAGTGGGGAGAAAAAACTGTGGGAGAAGTTTTTGGGTAGATGGAGGAGAGAAAGGGTGGCAAGCGGGAGAGTGGAAGGACGATTGGGAAAACGACGATGGAAAAATAGTTTTGGGGTAAATGGAGGGCGACAGGAAGGTGGCATGTAAGAGGAGGGGCAGGAATGGGGAAAAGAGGGTGGTGAGCAGAAGGCTTTGCGAAGAGATGGTGAGGGGGGAAAGACAGTGAGGAAGAAAGTTTTTGGGTAGATGGAGGGGGTAAAGAGCGTGGTGAGCAGGAGGGACAAAAGAGGGTGGCAAGTAGAGGGAGACAAGGTTTTGCCAAAAGACCGTAAGGAAAAGACAGTGGGGAGAGAAAAGTTTTTCGGTACATGGAGGGGGAAAAGAGGGTGGCAAGCGGGAGAGGGGAAAAGAGGGTGGCAAGCGGGAGAGGGGAAGAGAGGGTGGCAAGCGGGAGAGGGGAAGAGAGGGCGGCAAGCGGGAGAGGGGAAGAGAGGGTGGCAAGCGGGAGAACGAAAAAGAGGATGGCGAGTGGGAGGGAGACGAGGTTTTGTGAAAAAGATGGGTAGAAAAGACAGATGATGGGGAAAGAAAAGATAGACGGTGGGTAAAATGTGGGTAGATGCAGCGGGAAAAGAGGGTGGCAATTGGGAGGATAAAAGAGGGTGGCGAGAGGGAGGAGGGAAAGAGTTGGGAAAAAGACGATGGGGAAAATAGTTTTGGGGTAGATGGAGGGCAAAAGGAGGATGGTAAGGATAGTGGAAAGAAGAGGGCGTTTTTGGGGAGATGGAGGTTGGAAAAGCGGGTGGCGAGCAGCAGGAATGGGGAGAAGGCTTTGGGAAAATATGAGGGAAAAGTTTTTGGGTAGATGGAGGAACAAAAGGGGAATGAGAGCAGAAGGGAGAAAAAGAGGGTATCCAGTGAGGGGGGAAAAGTTTTCGGGTAGATGGTTGGCGAAAAGGGTGGTGAGCAGGAGAGTAGAGAAGGCTTTGCGAAATGACAGTGGGGAAAAATAGTGGGAGAAATGTTTTGGGGTAGATGAAGAAAAAGGGTGGCGAGAGGGAGGGGGCCAAAGGTGGTTGAGAAAAGAAGGTTGGGGACAAAGTTTTTGGGTAGAACTTTTTCTGAGTTTTAAATCAAATTATTTGTATTTTTGCTTTGAGTAGTTTTAGTTTTTTATATATTTTTTGTTGTATTAACCCCTTGCCTGATGCATAGTTTGCAAATACTTTCTTCGGTTCTCTGGATTGTTTCTTCATTCTATTGATTGCTTTCGCTACTTTGCAGAAGCGTTTAAGTTTAATGCAACTGCATTTTGTCTATTTTTGCTTTTTGTTGCTTGTGTTTTTGATGTGTATTTGAAAATCCGTTGTAACCAATTTCACGAGGCATTTTCCTATGTTTTCTTCTCTAGTAGTTTCATAGTTTCATGTCCTACATTTAAATCTTTATTTTCAGTAGATGATAAGATAACAGCCTACATGTATTGTGGGTGTTGGGTTTTCCTAGCACAGTTTATTGAAGAGATTGTCCTTCCCGAATGTGTGTTTTTGGTGCCTTTGTTAAAAGAGTTGACTGTAAAAGCTTGAATTTATTTTTGAGTTCTCTATTCTGTTTCATTTGTCTATGTCTGTCAGTCATTGGTCTGTGTATCTCTGTCTCTCTCTCGCTCTGTCTATCCCCTACCTATTTTTTTTCTTTTGCCACTACCATGCTGTTTTGGTTACTAGGTTTGTGGTATATTTTGAAATCAGGTAGTGTGATGCCGCCAGCTTTTTTCTTTTTATTCAAGATTCTTTTGTCTATCTGAGGTATTTTGCATTTCCATGTGAATTTTAGGATTTTTTTTTTTTTTTGAGACGGAGTCTTGTTCTGTCGCCCAGGCTGGAGTGCATTGGCGCGATCTAGGCTCACTGAAGGCACTGCTTCCTGAGTTCAGGCAATTCTCCTGCCTCAGCCTCCTGAGTAGCTGGGATTACAGGAGTGCGCCACCACGCCTGGCTAATTTTTGTGTGTGTAGTAGAGACGGGGTTACACCATGTTGTTCAGGCTGGTCTCAAATTCCTGACCACGTGATCCAGGCGCTTTGGCCTCCGAAAGTGCTGGGATTACAAGCGTGAGCCACCATGCCTGGCCGCTTTTTTTTTTTCCTATATCTATGAAGAATCTCTTTCCTAATTTAACATGGATTCCATTGATTCTGTAGATCACATAGGGTGATACAGATATTTTAACGATATTCTTCTAGTGCTTGGACATGGGATATCTTTACATTTACTTGTGTCTGCTTTAATATCTTTCGTCTATGTTTTATAATTTTAATTGTGGGATCTTTCGCCTTTTTGTTAAGCTTATCTCTAGGTATCTTTTTTGGGGGGCATTGGGTAACTACTGCAATAAAATAGCTTTCTTGATTTCTTTCTTAGGTGTTTCACTATTGGTACATGGGTGTGCTACTCATTTTTATATATTGATATTGTATCTTGCAACTTTATGAAATGTGTTTATTATTTCTAGTAGGTTTTTTTGTGGAATCTTTAGGGTTCTGCATATGTGTATGATTATGTCACCTGCAAACAGAGACAATTTGACTCCCTTTATTTCCATTTTGGATGCCTTTTATTGCATTCTCATATCTAATTCCTCTAGCTAGGACTTGTAGTACTGTGATGAATGAAAGTGGTAAAAGTAGCCACACTTGTTCCAGATCTTAGAAGAAGAGCTTTTAACTTTTCCCCATTGATTATGATGTTAGCTGTGGATTTCTCATATATGAACTTTATTGTGCTGAGATTAGTTCTACTGTTGAGGCCCTCTCATGCATTTTTCAGTTCATCAGTTGCATTTTTCAGCTTTGAGGTTTCTGTCATCTTCTTAAATTACTTCTATCTCTTTGTTAAATTTCTTTGATAAGTTTCTGAATTACTTCTCTGTATTTGAATTTCATTGAGTATCCTCAAAACAGCCATTTTTACTTCCCTGTCTGGAGAGTCTCACATCTTTTTTTTTTTTTTTTTTTTTTTTTTTTTTTTTTTTGTGAGATGGAGTCTTATTCCATCACCCAGCCTGGAGTACAGAGGCACAATCTTGGCTCACTGCAACCTCTGCCTCCCACGTTCAAGAAATTATCCTGTCTCAGCCTCCCAAATAACTGGGACTACAGGCACCTGCCACCACACCCAGCTAATTTTTGTATTTTTAGTAAAGACAGGGTTTCACCTTGTTGGTCAGGCTGGTTTCGAACTCCTGACCTCAGGTAATCCACCCACCTCAGCCTCCCAAAGTTCTGGGATTACAGGTGTGAGCCACCACACCCAGTCGAGTCTCACATCTGTAGCTCTGGTCACTGGTGACTTATTTATTGTTGTTATTTATTTCCTTGAATGTTCTTAACGTTTTTGAGCATATGTTCATGCCGGGGAGTTGAATAAGTGTGTATTTATTCCACTTTTTGCAGTCTGTTCTTGTGTGTGCTTGTCCTTCTTCAGTCGTCCAGAAATTCCAAGAAATTCAAGACTGTTGAGTTCCCCAAGCCTGTGGTCACTGCAGCTGTTACAGCACCAGAGGGCACCTTAAGCTCAGGTTCACCATGACTTTTGCAGACTGAGGTCCCTGGTGGCCGTGACACACTTGGAGAAGATAAGGGAGGGGTTCCCTGGGTTCCCAGACAAAGTTCTTCTTTCACGTCCATCTTCTTCCCCTTGCAAGGAATCTGGGCACCAAGCTTTGTGAATCTGGGCACTCTCATGTGATTTAGGCACTCTCATGGCCACTGCAGCTGGCGCAACACACCTGAAGCCCACAGCCTCCCAGACCAGAGCAGCACTGGGGTTTATCTGAGTCCTGTGGCCACTATATTGCCTGACTGCTGCTGACTTATTTAGGTTTCTAAGCCAGGTTAGTCTGCTGGTGATGAAGCTGGCCTGGGTTTGGGTCCATCCCGCCAGGGTGGCAGAATCCCTTCTCCCTGCAGGGGGGTCTGTAGGTGTCTGGGAGCTCCTGCCTAGGATCAGGGCCACAGTATTCTGCCTGACACTGTGTCCACTGTAGTAGGGCTGATACTGGGTTCTCCTCTTTCTCGCATAGGGAAGGAATTCTCTCTGCACTGCACTGCCTGGAGTTGGGATTGGGGTAACACAGGCAGCCCTCTGGCCACTGCAGCTGATGTCACATAGGAAGCCCACAGCCTCCCAGACCAGCACATTGTTGGTTGTTGGAGCTCACCCAAGGACCAAAGTGACTCTGGCCTGCCTGCCACTGAAATTTATTTGGGGCCTGAGGCCACTTGAATCAGCTGGTGGTGAAGCAAGTCAGGACTCAGGTTTGTCCCACCAGGGTAGTGGATTCCCTTTTAGACCAGGTCGTGTCTAAATGCTGTATCTATGGGCACTAGCCTGGAACGAAAGGCCATGGGGTTCTGCCCAGTGTTGTCCTTTACTATAGCAGAGCTGGCACTGGGCTCCAAGGCAAAGTCCCACGGACCCTTCCTTGTCCCTCCTGCAAGAGGTGGACACATTCTCTGCACTGCACTGCCTGGGGTTGAGGGAAGGGCAGTGCAGTCACTGCAAGACTGTCTTTTCACCCTCGTTAATGTGTGTTCTCTTGTTTTTAAGCTAAAACCAGGTTCTGTGATCTGTCACCTGCTTTCTTTAGCTCTTGTGAAGGTATTATCTTGCTTGGATTGTTGGACGGTGGTTCAATTTAATATTCCTGCAGAGACACAGTCACTGAGATTCTATCCTCCATCTCGCTCCACCTCTTCTCATTTATTTAGTTCTTCTTCAGTTTATTTCAACAATGTTTTGGAGGTTTCAGAGTATTAGTTTTGAACTGCTCTTGTTAATTTCTAAATTTATTACTTGTTTTGTTGCTATTATAAATGGGATTGTTTCTTTTATATCATCTTAAGGCAGTTCATTGACAGTATATAGAAATAAAATTAATTTTTAGTATTACATTTATATCTGGAAACCATGCCAAATTTATTATTTTGAATACAGTTTTACTGAATTTCTTAGAATTACATATATATGAGATCATGCCATCTGTAAATATAAATAATTTTATTTTTTTTTCATTCAGGATGTTTTCAATTTTCTATTCTTTACTAAATACACCTCGCTAGAATCCACAGTATAACGTTGAGTAGAATTTGCAAGAGTGGACATTCTTGTAAGTAACCATGCCAGGAAAGGATTCACCCTTTCATTGCAGAGTGTAATGATAGCTGTGGGTTTCATAGGTAACTACCACTAGTTTCAGGAAGTTATCTTACTGTCCATAACTGGAGTGTTTTCATGATGAAAATGTGTAATATTTTCTCGAATGCTTTCTGTCTATTGAGATGCTCATATATTTTGGTCTTTTATTCTGTTAATATGGTGTTTGCATTCATTGATTTTTCAAATATTAAATCAATGGGGCATTCCTGGGATCAATCACATCTGCACACAGTGCATAATCTATTTTATATGTTGGTGGGTTCAGCTTGGCAGTATTTTGTTGAAGATTTTTGATTTTATAAAACAATTAAAGACACTGGTCTATATTGTTTTGTTATTCAGTTTTGGTGTCAGAGTAATCCTGTTTGTAAAATGAATTGGGAAGTGTTCTCTGCCCTTTTATTTTCTGCAAGGGTTGGTGAACAATTGATATTAATTTCTCAGAGTGTTTGATTCACCTGGGAAGCTAGCTGAGATGAGATTTTTATTGTAAGGTTTTAAAATTACAATCCAATGTTTTAACCTTCCATAGATCTACTTATATTTTTAATTTCTCCTTTAGACTGTTTTAGTTTCTGTCATTCTAGGACTTCATTCTGTCTAGGCTATCTTACTTTTTCGGCATAAGATTTTTCATTGCATTCTCTTTTAATCATATTTATTTTGTAATACTGCCAGTGATGTGTTCTCTTTTATTGCCGATTTTAATAATTTGAGTTTCATCTCTTTTTTTCTTGCTTAGCCTAAGTAAACATTTGCCAATTTTTTTATCTTTCCAAACATTTCATTTTGGTTTATTGATTTTTTTCTGTTTCATATTCCTTAACTTTCTGTTATCCTAACTCTATTTTCCCCCCATCTTTATTTTTTTATTTTTTTTTTTGAGACGGAGTCTGGCTCTGTCACCAGGCTGGAGTGCAGTGGCGTGATCTTGGCTCACTGCAACTTCCCACTCCCTGGTTCAAGTGATTCTCCTGCCTCAGTCTCCCTAGTAGCTGGTATTACAGGCACACACAACTAGGTCCAGATAATTTTTCTATTTTTAGTAGAGACAGGGTTTCTCTGTGTTGGCAAGGTTGGTCTCAAACTCCTGACCTCAAGCAATCCGCCCGCCTCGACCTCCCAAAGTGGTGGGATTACAGGCATGAGCCACCTTGCCTGGCCGGCTTAACTCTAAGGAAATGTTTATCTTTAGGAACATTGTATTTGGTTAATTAAAATTTTAGATTCTGGAGCATCAACTGTTCTCTTACATGAAAATAAAAGCGTGAATTGGGAAATAATGGGTTCCCCAATTTTTTTGTGGGGGGAACAAAACAACTATCCATGTACATACAGTTTTTGGTTCCCCAGATCATTGAGCCAACTTGGCCAAAATAAGTAATCCCTCATTCCTTATCTCAAGAAGGTGGTCTTGCCTTGCTTGGAGATGTTAAAATGAATTCACTGGATGTAGTCACTTTTAAGACTATTAGTTTACTTCATGTCCCATTTTCAGCCAGTTACTCTACCTGGAATAATAGAATCAAATTCTGTCATGCACAGGTAAATAAGTAAATTCTGTCATTTAATATCTAAATTATGTATATATATTTACATACCTATATTTTACTTGCAATTCGATGAAGATAAGGCTTTGTATGTATGCTCTGTGTAAAATATGCTGTCTATATTCTCATGATTACAAAGAATAGTTTGAGTAATGGAATGTATTTGAATTTTACATATGTCTTTCATTTACTAGCAGAAATAAAATCTTAGCACTTGATTTAGTAAATTCCTCCATTTAAAATAAGATGTTACTTTAGCAGAAACAAAATTTATCTTAATGGGATAATAATTCACTAGTTTACCTCTGATGAGCATCAGCTAATATTTAATCCATTGTGAAATTACACAGAATCAAAATAAAATATAATACAGTTAGTTAAAATAGAAAAATTATCTTATTGATTAATTTAGACATCAGAAGTTAGATTATAAAATCAAGGTATTTTTTGTGTTTGTTTTGTTTTTAGTATATTAGCATATACTACCAAACGTGAACCATAGTAAAAGCTGTTCAGTAACACTTACCATTCCATTTTCAAATAACCCGAGTTTATGTGTCAGGTTGAAAAGCTTTTAGATGAGTGGTTTATGTTACTGTATGTATCCAAATATTTGTATATCATGTAGACAGCCCAAGAACATATGCACGTATGTTAGCTATTGCATAGAATGGTAAAGAATACATTCTTAAAAGAAAGAAGAGAGTAAGATACATTCACTTAATGTTCCAAATAGGTCTCTAGTATCTCAAATGTACTATTCACCCATTACTTTCAAACATTATATCAGGGCCAGGCACCATGGCTCATGCCTGTAATCTCAGCCCTTTGGGAAATTGACGTGGGTGGATCACTTGAGGCCAAGAGTTCCAGGCCAGCCTGGCCAACATGGCAAACACCTGTCTTGACTAAAAAAAAAAAAAAAAAAAAAAACTAGGCACGGTGGCACCCCCCTGTAATACCAGTTACTTGGGATGTTGAGGCACCGGAATCATTTGAACCTGGGAGGCAGGGGTTGCAGTGAGCTGAGATCATATTACTGACTCCAGCCTGGGCAACAGAGCAAGACTCTGTCTCAAAAAAACAAAACCAAAAACATTATATCATGGTATGTGATTAATCTGAATTCAAAACATCTTAACATAAACTAAATGAAAATCATACAAAATTTTGCTTGTTTTATTGCATTCTCCTAATTCCTCTAGCATCTATTTAATTCTATTTGTTTTGAATTTACCAACAATTCAAATCTTGCTGAGAATATTTGCACTGATAAATATTTTTGTGATTATTGATTATATTCAAATGCGCTCTCATTTTCAAAGCAACGTGTATAAAATTATTATTAAAATTGTACATAGCTTGAAATAATGTAATTGTCATGGGATACATTTATATATCATAATTAAAAGCACATTACAACGCTTGTACCTGATCTTAACATTACTTAACCTTAGAAATATAGAATAAATGATAGGAATAATATGGGAGACAAAAGACTGTGTGAAAAGCCACATATTGTATATCTCTATTGTTTTTATTAAACTTTTTTTCCCACTGCACTTACAAGTAAATTTGTCATGGACCATGGTAATTTTTATTGTAATCTTACTGTAGGTACATTCTGTTAGCAGGTTAAATAAAATACATGATCAAAGTCAAAAATATATGCAAGGAAAATATAGAAAATTTAAGTTATAAAAAGCTACTGTTGGTCACCGGTGGCTGGCAGGCGGGCAGCCCTAACACAGGCAGGGCTGCGAGTGCAGTCACCCAGGTCTGCAGGAGCAGCAGGCCGAGGCCAGCGGAGATGACCCCGATGAGCCCACTTCAGGTCGGGGCTGAGTGTGGGCACATGGTTCCCGGCAGCGTGTGACCCAGTCCTGGCCAGCCGCCGCCCTCTGCGGGCCCCAGGGCTGCGAAGAGGCCTTCTGCCTGGGGCAGTATCAAGGCTGCAGAGTTTTCCTCCAAAGCCACACCTCGACTGGAAGGGGCGAGTTCGAGGACTCTGTGGGTGGTAGCCATGGGCAAATGCAGAGCTGCTGCTGTTGCTTTGCAGTGCCTGTAGGACTTAGAGGGCCTGGAGTGTCAGTTCCCTGAACAGCACCCAGATCACCCTGTATTGGGGACACAGTTCATTCCCCCCTTCCCTAACTCTGCAGTAAAATCTTGAGGCTGTCATCTGGGGAAGCCACCTTGTCCGTTCAGCCATGAAGACAGAAACAGTGCCATTGTTCCAGGAGACTCCAGCTGGATCCAGCTGTCACCTCAATAACCTGTTGAGTAGGCGGAAGGTGATGGCTGTGGGGGTCTTGCTTGCTGGCTCCTGGTCATACACCTTCTGGTCAGCATGTGGCTGCTGTGCCTTCTGTCTGCATTGCTAGTGGTGCTGGGAGGATGGCTGGGCTCCAGTGTCTCTGGAGTGGCTTCAAGTCCACTGCTCCTGGAAGGCTTCATCCCATTGGCCACCTGTCCTCTATTCCCTGAGACAGAAAGACAACTGGAACAGGAGATCAACTGCACCATCCAGATGTGATTATTTGAGATTTTATATTATCCTGGTACCGTTCTGAGAGCCAGGAGCCAGCCTTTGCAGAGGAAATGGAGGCAGCCATGAAAGAGTTGGTCCAGGAGCTTCAGAGGAGGATGAGCATGATGGACCATCATGCTCTTGCTCAGAGTGTTCTTACTCTCTGTCGTTTTTCACCTGCAGAGCTACATTCAGGCAAAGGAGGCCACTACAGGGAAGAATGGTCCAGTTGAGCCTTCCCACCTCTGGGAGGCTTACTGCTGGGCTACTGCCCCACATCCTGCTGTGCACAGCCCCAGTGCTGAAGTCATCTATACATGTGGTATTGTGAATTTGTTGCTTCAAGGGCTGGTGCCCAAGTCCCACTTGGAGACTCATACTGGATGCCATGTAGTGGTTGAACTCATCATATGCAGTGTAGTCTTACCACTGATCAGCAGGCTGTCAGATCCTGACTGGATCCACCTTGTCCTCATGGGTATCTTTTCCAAGGCCAGAGATCCAACACCCTGCCCAGCCAGTGGCCCTGAACAGCCCTCAGTGCCCACGTCTCTGCCACTTATTGCTGAGGTACAGCAGCTTCCAGAAGGGAGGGCTCCTTCTCCAGTAGCAGCCCCAGGGTTCCTAGATAAACAGTGAGCCAGAGATTCCTGCAGGCCCCTCCTCAGAGGTTGAAGGTGGCCACGAAGCTGTAGAGGGAGATTTGGGTGGAATGTCTGAAAAAAGAAACGTAGGAAACAACTCATCTCATTTCCTATAGCCAAATACTTGAGGCCTCCTGTTCTTATGTGGAGACTCAGAGCTGGAGTCTCCGCTGTCTGAAGTAGGCTAAGAAACCATCATGCTCATGACTCCAGGCCACTTTCTGTCTGACAGGATTCAGGATGCCCTGTGTGCCCTAGAGGGTTCCCAGGCTCTGGAACCCAAAGGTGGTGAGGGATCTGAAGGAGTAGAGGCTGAGGGTCCAGGGACAGAAACAGAGACAGTCTTGCCTGTCTCCACACTGAACTTCTGCCCAGAGATACAGATTGACATAGCAGACAAGGAGATAGAACAAGGAGAAGTTACCACCTCTGTTACAGCTTTGATGGAGGGGCTGGAAAAGACCTGCTCCTCACGGCCCTCATGCTTAGAGAAGGATCTCACCAATGATGTGACCTACCTTGATCCTAGTCTGCCACCAGTTCTGCTTTCCTCCTCTTCACCTGGTCCTCTCAGCTCAGCCACCTTCAGCTTTGAGCCCCTAAGCAGTCCAGATGGCCCAGTTATCATCCAGAACCTTCATATCACTGGCACCATTACAGCCCGAGAGCACAGTGGCACCGGATTGTACCCATGCACACGCTATACTGTGAAGTGTGAGACATCCCTTGACGGTGAAAACAGCAGCCTGCAGCAGCTGGCCTACCACACTGTGAATCACCGCCATTGGGAGTTCTTGAATCTGCAGGCCATCAGGAGAAGAAACCAGATCTATGAAAGTTCATTAAAAATGTGAAGGGTTCTAAAAAGCTCTTTCCAGATCTTCCATTTGGAAAACATAGACAGTGACAGAGTAGAAGCCCGAAAGAGCCTCCTGTAATAATTCCTGAAGCAATTGTGTGCCATTCCAGAGATCGCTAACAGTGAGGAGGTGCAGGAGTTTCTTGCTGTGAACACAGATGCTCATGTTTCCTTTGTCAAGAAACCATTTATGGTCTCTAGAATAGAGAAGATGGTGGTGAGTGCCATTGTGGACAACTTGAAGACAGCATTTCCTTGCTCTGAATCCCAGGGCCCCACAGAGGAGCTGAGTGAGGCCGAGACTGAAAGCAAGTCCCAAACAGAAGGCAAGAAGGCTAGGAAGTCCAGGCTGAGGTTCTCATCCAGTAAAATTTCTCCAGCACTAAGTGTGACTGAAGCACAAGACAAGATTCTTTATTGTCTCCAGGAAGGCAATGTGGAGTCCAAGACCCTATCCATGTCTGGGATGGAATCTTTTATTGAAAAACAGACAAAGTTACTGGAGATGCAGCCAAAAGAAGCCCCAGAAAAAGATCCTGAACAACTTCCCAAAGGACATGTGGACAGTTGCTTGTCAGATGCAGCTGTGCCAGCCCAAGATCCCAGCAACAGCGATTCAGGAACAGAGACAGAGTTAGCTGACACAGCCCTGAATCTGCTTCTCTTGCTACTAACAGAACAGTGGAAATGGCTGTGTACTGAAAACATGCAGAAGTTTCTTCGTCTTATCTTTGGTACCCTAGTTCAAAGGTGGCTAGAGGTGCAGGTAGCTAATTTAACAAGTCCACAGTGCTGGGTGCAGTACCTCTGGCTTCTTCAGGAGTCCATCTGGCCTGGTGGAGTTTTGCCTAAGTTTCCACGGCCTGTAAGGACCCAGGAGCAGAAACTGGCTGCTGAGAAACAGGCTTTGCAGAGCCTAATGGGAGTCTTCCCAGATCTCATAGTAGAAATTCTTGGGGTGAACAAATGCCAGCTGAGTGTTTAGTCTTGGAGTCACTACAACAACCACTCATCAACAGGCATTTGATTTACTGCCTTGGGGACATTATCCTGGAATTCTTGGATCTCAGTGCCTCTGTTGAGGAGTCCGCTGCTACCACCTCTGCTTAAGATACCCCAGGCAGCCCTAAGAGGATGGGTGTCTCCTCATAGCTGGTTATTCCCGCATCCTTCCCAGGTCAGGGAAGTAGAGTTACTCAGCCACCCAGAGACCAGTGAGGAAGCCTGCATCCTCTGGAAGTAAGCTACAGCTCAGAAGGCCTAGGCTCCCAGTGGCTCAATTCTCTCCCACTTCTCCATTTGTAGCAGGTGACACAGGGTATGTGTCCCAGTTGCATGCACATTTATTTCCATGTCCCTTTTGTGGTGTTGGGATTGTTGTTGGTGAGTAGATTCTGTTTCCTTTGGGAAAAGAAGATGTGAGGTAGAGGAACAATCCCCTTTTGCTTCTCCTTTTGCCGTCCTCCCTGAGATTGTTTGCCAGAACCCTGGCCCTGTGCACAGATGTATTTAATCCACCAGCACACAAGCTCTGGATAGAACAGGAAAAAAGCAATGGCCAGATTTCCTTGGAGGAAAGAACAACCTTCTGAGCTCTCTGTTCCTACCCGGAAACTAAAAATTCATTCCGGGCCATTCTCAAAAACCAGACTCCTGGGTCTTACCTAGTTTCCCAACAGTTCCAGAAGAAGAAGGAGGGAGGAAAATTTTTCAAGGGACTTCTTGCTCATGTGTTGCTATTTCCCAACACATCAGCCTTATGGAAGATGTCATCAGGCTGCTTCCCTGGAAGGCTACACTTTTCCTTTCTAGAAGACTTCAAAGCTGATTGCAAAAGCTTCTGGTAAATCCACCGCACCCTTCACACCCTTTCCTGAAAGGCATTTATACCACACATTTTATTTATTGGCTCTCCTCCCAACCCCCTGCCCTAGAGCAACTGGGTTTTTGAATTTGTGACCCTCTCATTATCTTCAGCAAATTTACATGACAACTTGCATATTCAGCCTCAGCTTTTCCGAGGAAAAGGTAAAGCACTTGCCTCCTGTCTTAAGAATGCAAAAAGAGTAGGAATAGCAAGCTGGGGGAATGAAATCTCCCTTCATAAGTCTTTGATGGGGAACTTTTATTGCTCTGAACAGATAAGATTAGCAAACTTACAAGGAATAGCTTCTTATTTCCTGTTCCTTATGGTTATAATTAGCCTTTAAAGAACTCCAGCAAAGGTGTTCTGTTAGGCCACATCTATTAGAAAGGCAAAGAAATTAGGAATTGCTGGAGGAGAAGGATAAATCAGGAGGAATTGGTGGTAGAAGAGGATGCAGACAGTCACAGGGAAGTGGTATATATTAAATACATGTGAATAGCTGGCAAAAAGGTGTCAGGGATGTTACTCGGAGCCATTTGGCTTCACACTTGCCTGTTAGTGCCTTGCTTTCGCTGAATTACCAGAGCCTACCACTTGGAGGAAGGTCTTGGAGTTAGACTGATGAGAAGGCAATGGGGTGCCAAAAACAGGTGTCAGAGTTCTCTTAGATTCTGAAGTAGGTGGTGAGCACACAATTAAAGTGGTTTGTGGAAGAAAAAAATGCTACTCTTACTGAATCTCTTGATTACAGTTTATAATCAAAATTATTGTAAAACTTTTCTCCATGTGTAAGTAATTACACATATAAAGTATCTCCCTCATTCGGTAGATTTCATGTTTCTTTCAGAAATGTATATCAAGTATAAAACGTTTTGAATTCTAAATCGCACTTAAAATTATTCATTGTTGGTTATATAATTATAACCAAGTACATTAATGACTACATACTGTAAACTTTCTTTGCCATGTGGCACAAATAGTTAATTTACCTTTTCTTTCTCTGTTTATCTATCTTCTATGTCCTAGTCTATTTCAGTTTTCTCTCAAGTAGTGGTTTTCATTGAACTACCAAAAAGTTGCAAGGGCAACCACACTTGAAGAAAAACGTGTTAGTAACATATAGTTTAAAGCTTTTTTTATTTATAAAATTATATTCCAAATTGTTAAATTAATTTTATTATGCAGACTTGATGTCTGAAAACTTCTTAAAATAGAGAAGTTCACAATATTAGATACTGTGTCTTTCTTCATATAATGACAAAAGACTTCAGTTCTGAAATTTTAGGAAAAGTTTTGCTTTAAGATTAATTAAAACATAAGATTGCATAAGCAGAGAGCATGTAGGTACAGCTATTCTATGGAAAACTTTTTTTGTGATTAGAACTGTTAGGAACATCTTTTGAGAATATTCAGGCTATATATGATGCTGCAAATTTATTTTCATAATTGCTATAACTGGCAGGGCAAGCAGATGATATGTTTGTAGCTATCTCGTTGTAAGCACATCTCCAGGAATAAAAAAGGGCCTTAAGAAGAGGGAGGCAGGTGGCACAGTAATCACATCATGAACACAGATGCGGTGGCCCCTGAGAAAGAGTCATGATGACAGCTGCATTCTTTGTTTCTATCGCCTATGTAATCTAATTTCAAGGAAGTATCAAAGTGTCGGGGTGGAGAGAGGATAAGAATCACTAGCATGAAATCTAAAGTGCAGTCATCCGGTTGCCTGATGTCTTCTGAGGTGGTTCACCCAGATTCACAATACAGATAATTAAATTCAGAGCTGCAGAGATAGGGAAAATAAGATGTGGAAATAGACTTCTTCTGAAGTATTATTCAGGTCTCCTCCTTTTCTTCCAAATGCCATCCCCCCCATCAGTATACTCAAGGCATCTGATGGCATTGATGAGCAACTGAAAAATCATTTAATTAATCATCAGGTTCTTTATCCTTAGTTAAAAATGTAGAGGCACAAAAGTCATGTGTCAAAATATGCTCTTTTTTAATAGAGTATGGTCCACTACCCACTGTGTGTCCTCTTAACCTTTCCAGAGTAGGTGTCCTTACAGCATAAATTTAGCATAAAATTAGACACGTTCCAGTATAAAATAAAATGAAGACATAATAAGCCAATACTGAATTCTTTAGTGAATCTAGAAAATTCACTTTAATTTTTTTTCTAGAAAATGGATTTATTTTAGTGTATTTATTTGTTTTTGCATTTGCCTCATGGTTCTGCATGGCTAACTTGTTAAAGTCACAAGATATCGTATATTGGGTGGATTTGCAAGCGATGTTTAGTGTTTTCTTCCCTGATGAACCAACATAACCATCATTCTGCTATGAGTCTATGTTATGAAATATGTCTATGTCCTGCTATTCTCAGGCTTCATTTTTGCCTCTAAATCTTCCAGGTACTGTTGTTTTTGACAATGTAATAGATATTACTTCTTTCTGTGCCTTCAAAATTTCACTAAGGAAATAAACTGGTTACCAAAAACACCTGTTTGTTAAAAATTGGAGTCAAACTTTTTAAAGAAGAGATGTACTTTGTTTTCTTTCCTAAATATTTAAAAATTAATAGGATTTATCCATAGTATAACATGGTTTTAAAAAGTAATTTAACTTTAGTTTTATTGAATACCTATTTGTGTAGTATATTACATTTATTTTTGTTAATATTAAATTTTTTAAAATTTAGGTATAAATTGTGCATTTTATATGATATTTATACCATTATTTTACTTTGGGTTCTCTCATTTAAAGTTATAACCAAAGTTACACTGTTATTCATTTTTTGTGCTATGCATTTAATATTTTCATGGATTCCTTTTTTTTCTATTTTAAGCTAGTATATATTGCATTATATTTAAAACCACCACAACAGGTAGGAAATGGGGAGTTGTTACTTGATGGCTATAGAGTTACAGTTTTGTGA
Source organism: Homo sapiens (assembly GCF_000001405.40). NCBI lineage: Eukaryota > Metazoa > Chordata > Mammalia > Primates > Hominidae > Homo > Homo sapiens. Next base: position 14,626,178 of record NC_000018.10, on the reverse strand, counting down.
GATGGAAAATATCTGCAGCTCTGTTGCACAGAAATGTGAATATAGTTAATACTTATGATATCTACACTTAACATGATTACGATAGTCAATTTTATGTGTATATTTTTGCTGTAATTAAAAAATACCATCACAAGTTTGAATGATAACTTATTTTGTATAATATTGAGTGTGTTCACATCAATAAGAAAAGCCTAATATACCAATAAGAAAGAGTTAATCGGACCAGGCATGGTGGCACACACCTGTAATCCCAGCACTTTGGGAGGCCGGGGCAGGTGGATCAACTGAGGTCAACAGTTCAAGACCAGCCTGGGCAACATGATGAAATCCCATCTCTACTAAAAATACAAAAATTAGCTGGGCACTGTGGCCTGTGCCTGTAATCCCAGCTACTCTGGAGGCTGGGGCAGGAGAATCGCTTGAGCCTGGGATGCAGAGTTTGCAGTGTACAGAGATTGTGCCATTGCACTCCAGCCTGGGCAACAGAACGAGACTCTGTCTCAAATGCATACATACATACATACATACATACATACATACATACATACATACATCTGTCCATTACAATATTTTAGAGATGTGAAAAAAAGTTGCATAACTGGTGACTTGAATATCTATGTTTTTTGTAAGCTCTACTAATACATTGAGAGTAGTTATTCAAGGAATAAAACAATGAAGAGTTAATGCTAATTTTATGTTCACATAGAAAGTATTAGTAGCAGAAAGCGATTTCATCTCAGAGAAAAAGGAAATTCTTACATAACATAATGAATGATGCAACCAGGATACAAGAAATTATAACAGTATTTTTGTATTTGTCCAAACGTTATTTGAAAATCCTCAGTGCACATACTTTAAGAATTAGGGTTAAGGCCGGGCTTAGTGGCTCACGCCTGTAATCCCAGCACTTTGAGAGACTGAGGTGGGTGGATCACTTTACTTTGAGCCTATTGGTGTCGTTACATGTGTGATGGGTCTTTTGAAGGCAACAGAAGGTTGTATTTTGTTTTCTTTCCAATTTGCCACTCTATCTTTTAAATGGAGCAATTAAGCTGTTTACATTCAAGGTTAATATTTATATGTAAGAGTTTGTTCTGTTGTAGTGTCGTTAGGTAGTTTCTTTGTAATCTTGATTGTGTAGTTGCTTTATAGGGTCTGTTAGCTTTATATTTATGTGTGCTTTTATGATAACAAGTATCATTCTTTCGTTTCCATTTTTAGAACTCTTTTAAAAATTTTCGTAGGACTGATTTGGTGGTAACAAATTCCCTTAGCATTTGCTTGTCTAGAAAAGACATTAGTTCTTCTTTGTTTATAAAGCTTAGTTTGGTGGGATGTATAATTCTTTGTTGGCATTTATGTTTTCTTTCAAAATGCTAAAAATAGACCCCCAATCTCTTCTGGCTTATAAGGTTTCTGCTGAGATGTCCACCATTAGTCTGATGGTATTCCCTTTATGGGTAATTTGGCCCTTTTCTCTAGCTTCCTTTGAGATTTTTTTTTATTTCACATTAATCATGAATAGTCTGATGACTATTTGCCTTGGGAATGGTCATATTGTTTAGTATCTCTCAGTAGTTTTCTTAATTTCATATATCTGGATGGCAATGTCTCTAACAAGATTGGGGAAATTTTATTTAATTATTTCCTGAAATATGTTTTCCAATTTGCTTACTCTTTCTTCTTCTTTCTCAGGAATGCCAGTAAGTCATAGGTTTTTGTTGTTTAACATAATATCATAGAATATTTCTTGAAGACTTTGTTCATTTTTTAAATTCTTTCCCTCTCTTTTTGTCTGACTGAGTTAATTTGAAACGTGGTCTTTGAGCTCTGGCATTCTCTATTCTGCTTGTCTAGTCTGCAATTAAGTCTTCTGATTGTATTTTGAAATTCCTGTAGTAAATTTTTCAATTTCAGAAGTTCTGTTTGGGTTTTCATTAATATACCTATGTCATCTTTCATATCCTGAATCATTTTCCTGTTTTTTTTTCTATTGGATTTCAACATCCTCTTGAATATTGAGTTTCCTTACAACCCATACTTAGAAATTTTTAATTTGTCATTTCAGACATTTCAATCTGGCTAGGTTTCAGTGCTAAAGAGCTAGTGCAATCCTTTGGAGATGTTGAAACACTGTGATTTTTTGTACTGCTGGAGTTCTTATGCTGATTTTTCTCATCTAAGGAAAGTGTTGTTTCTTATTTTTGAATTTGTATTGTTTGGATGGGGCTCTTTATTTTTTTTCCCTTGAGGGTGTAACTGTGGTGGATGTTATGTATTTTGGCTTAGTTTCTGAATGCTTTTGGTGGGCGACAAGGCTCTACATGTTGGTTGTGGATATGTGGATACGTTTTGTGTGGTGGCTTTATCAGATATTGTTTGGTATAGCCATGTATTTTTTATTTGATGGTGCATTTCAGGCTGTAGTCCAGTATATAGCACTTAGGAGTATGATATGGCAGGTAAGCTGCTGCCCATTGGATGAATTTGCACTGATGAGCATGGTGGGAAGAGATCATGATGGAGTGCCCTGAAGCCTCCAGGAAAGAGATGGAGGGGTGCACCAGCTCTTCATCCTGAACTAGAAGAAATGCAGTCTGCTTCCCTATCATATCCCTGTCACAGGTCTCATGACCTTGTTTGTAAAATCTTCATCCTTTAGTTCCCAGCACAGTGCCTTTGTGGGCCATGGATCTGCCTCTCTGATGGCTACCACTATAACGAGGGTCAGGGTAGAACCTCTTCCTCCAGTACAGGACAGACAACTTTGTAGTCTATCCTCTGTTGTCAGGGTGCTGCCACTCTGTGTTGGAAGGGGGAGTTGGACCCCACCCCTTGTGAAAGCCAGAGCAGGCACAGTCTCATTTTCAGCAGGGATGGATCCACCACCCCTGCTGAAAGCACAAAGAATCACTTTCTTACAGTGCACACTCACCAGCTCTTGCAGGAAGAACTGCTACTGCATTCATAACAGTGTACGGTGGATGAAAGGTGGGAGACGATCCTCTTCTTCATAATTATTCCTGGATATTGATGCTGTCTCATTCCTCAGTTGGTGCCACATCTGTATTTCGTTTGTCCCAGGGAGTACTTTCGCAGGCTGTGCTCCCCAGCTCCTTAAAGGGTGGCTCCATGCTGAGAGTAAGATCTCCAGAGAACCTACAATACCCCAGGCACCCACTGGTCCCCTGTGCTTGCCAAAGTCAGAGCAGGTTGTGGAGTATATTTGCAGGTGGTCTGGTGGTGCAATGACTTAAGGGCAGAGGATCCTTGGGAAGGAAAGTGACACACTGGTGCACAACCAGTATGGTGCCCACCATCTCAGTTCAGGTCCAAGGGGAGAGTGGGTATGGCTGTGCGAGCTGGCCACTGGTTCTGTGTTCTCAGGAAATTCTCTAATCATCACTGATTGTGTTGCCCTGGCTAGCAAGGGCAAAGGGGCTCCCCAACCGTTTAGCACTCGGCAGGTGGTCAGAGGGGTGTAGAAAGAAGCAACTTCTACCTACCATTTTGGCTGAGCTCTGTGTTGCTCAGAGGTTGATATCAGCCAGAGTCTTGCTGCATTCTTCTTCTGGGCTTCAACTTCTTCGCGTGGTTACTCCAACAGGTCCTCACTTCTCTATATTTTCCATTCAAAACTTGTTCATTCACTGGTAACTTTGATCTTTCTGAGAAGAGCTGGCATGTAATTTCCCCAGTCAGCTTGAAAAAAAAAAAAAAACTTTGTTTTCAGAATGTATACATTTATCACTATAAATTTTCTCCTTAGTACTGCTTTTGCTGTATCCCATTAGTTTTGGTATGCTGTGTTGTCATTTTCATTAGTCTGTAAATATTTTCTAATTTCTACTGTGGTTTCTTCTTTAATCAACTGATGGTGTAAGAGTGTGTTTAATTTCCACGATTTTGTCAGTTTTCCAGTTTTACTTCTGTTATTGATTTCTCACTTTAATTCATTGTGTTCAGAAAAGATATTTTGTGTGATGGCTATCTTTTAATTCTCCTGGGACCTAATTTGGGCCTAACATATTTTCTGTCTTGGAAAATATCCCATATACACTTGAGAAGGATGTGTATGCTGTTGTTGGGTAAATATTCTGTATATGTTAGAACAATTTGGTTTATTCTAAGTCCTCTATTTTCCTTACCTATCTTCTGTCTGCTTGTTTTATCCATATTGAAAGTAGGGTATTGAAGTCTTAAACTGTTATTGTAGAATTGCTTATTTCTCCCTTCCATTATGTCAGTTTTTGCTTCAAATATTTTGATGGTTTGTAAGCGTTTATGATTGTTATATCTTCCTACTATATTTAACCCTTCATCAGTATATAATGTCCTTTTATGTCTCTTGTAAACATTTTTATTTAAATCCTAATTTTTCTGATATTAGTATAGCCACCCCTGTTGTCTTTTGACACAACACCCTACTCTCTTGACTTACCTAGCCAGGTTTTAGTGAAAAATCCTGTTAAGTCAGTTTGGTAAGAATCCCTGCAACCTTGAAATCAAATTCGTTTTTTTACTGCCAACCTTTGATAGCTAAGTTCTTGGCCAGCCTTTAACAAGAATCCTTCTAAGCCAACCAGTGATCTCTGACTGCTGTTCAGAAGAAACAAGGGATGGATAATGTAAAAATCTGAATCAATATTTCTAATTCTGGGCACATATTGGAATTGGCTAGTAATCTCATATTAGCTTGGTTCCAACAACTGCCCAGCTCACGGAAAGCCTTCTAATTTAGTTTACTTCAGATATTTTTACTTATTTTGCTCTACTCTTGTGGAATATATTGCTGTTGTACTCTCTGTGTAGGAACATAGGATAAACTTATTCAATGTTTCCTTAAATTAAACACTTACTAATAATCTCCCAGATATCACCTTTTGTCAGAACTCAGAGTTAGGAATGGCCTTCACCATACTGATGCTTTCTGACTGAGCTCCTCTCTACCCCAAATACAGGGGACCCTAATAATTAGGCAGGAATATCATTACCCCTATTCAGCCTGAAGAAGTTTCAGAAGATGGATCTTCATCCCTTTGCAGCCCTTGGTATTAAGGATTCTCTTATAAAAGTGAGGGGGAAATGTCAGAGGTGTTTGAACCAGAGCAACTCCATCTTAAACAGGAGCTAGGTAAAATAAGGCTGAGATCTACTGGACTGCATTTCTAGAAGGTTAAGGCATTCTAAGTCACAGGATGAGATAGGAAGTCGGCACAAGATACAAGTCCCTGATGAAACAGGTTGCAGCAAAGAAGTCAGCCAAAACCCACTAAAATCAAGATGGTGACAAGAGTGACCTCTGGTTGTCCTCACTACTACACTTCTGCCAGCGCCATGACACTTTACAAATGCCATGGCAACATCAGGAGGTTACCTTATATGGTCTAAAAAGGGGAGGCATGAATAATCCACTCCTTGTTTAGCATATACTCAAGAAATAACCATAAAAAATGGGCAACCAGCATCCGTAGGGACGACTCTGTCTATGGAGTACCCATTCTTTTATTCCTCTACTTTATTAATAAACTTGCTTTCTCTTTACTCTGTGTACTCACTCTGAATTCTCTCTTGCATGAGATCCAAGAACCCTCTCTTGGAGTCTGGATCCAGACACCTTTCCTGTAATGACCATGTATGAATTGAAAAAATGATTAGACAGAGTGAAAAACAGATTAAAAAATTAGTTCTTAGTGTATGACTTCAATTTTCTAAAACTCTACAAAATTCAAACTAATCTAAAGAGACAAAAAGTAGGCCAGTGGTTCTCTGGGGGGAGGAGAGTGGACAGGATCTCCATAGTATTACAAGGGATCCCTTGGGAGTGATTTATATGTTATAGGTAGTGATGTTTTCTTGTTAGTTTAGCACTTACTTATTGTTTGTTTGCTTGTTTACTTGCTTTCTGTGTCCCCTACTATAATTGATTATCTGTAGCCAGGGTTGGCAAATTATGGCTCCATGGGCCAAATCTCACTCATAGTCTGTTTATGTATGGCCCACAAGCTAAGAAGTGTTTTTATATTTTTGAAGGGATGTAAAAAAGAAAAAAATGCAACAGTAAGGAACAATATGCAACAGAGACTATATGCACCTCATAAAGTCTAAATATTTAATATCTGGCCTGTTACAGAAGAAATTTGCCAATCTCTGCTCTATATGATCAATTATCTCCTATTCTATTCACATATGCATGGTAGCCTGTATATTACAAAATAGCTAGAAGAGAGTGTTGGAAATAAATTTTTGGTGCCGCAAAAGAAATAGCACTCGAACATGAATTTTCTCAGCAAGGCAATTTTACTTCTATAGAAGCGTGTGTCTCATGGATGGAGCAACGGTGAGAGCACACCCGAACAAGGGAGGGGAAGGGGTTCTTATCCCTCACCACCCCTACTGCTGCGTCATTCCCCTATTGGCTAGGGTCAGACCGCACATCTAAGCTAATTCAGATTGGCTATTTTAAAGAGAACAGAGGTATGAGCCAGAGTGGCAGGATGAGTAGTTTGGTGGGAAGGACAGTTACAGAAAAGGTGACTCAGGATGACTAAGAACAGAGCAGGTGACCAAGGATGACCAAGATCAGAGCAGGTGAACAAGGGTGACTAAGATCAGAGCAGGTGACAGAGGGTAGGAGGAGGTTGTTTACTGAAACTAGGGGCAAGGAGACATAAAGAACAAGGAAATTCAACTCTAAAATGAAGAGCAAAGAACGGGGAGCCGAACATACTGATACATTGGTTCTTTGGAGAGGATCTCAGAACTCATAGTATTTAACAATTTACAGGCTAAAACTTTTGAGGAGGAATTTATGATATCCTACAATTTTCTCCCTTTCAATTTTCATAGTATTTCCTCTTCAAACTTTTTTTAACATATCTTGGCTTTGCTGCTCAACTTAATCCTCTAAAAGAAAAAGCTGATCTGAATAAGGTGAAGGAGAGCTAAGGGAGGTTTTAGTAAATGCTGCATCTATAAGTCTTTGCACTAGTCTATAGATGCATGGTATGACACAACACTGGACAAGAATGAGTACACCTACTACAGCTGCAAGAGAAGTAAGAATTGAGGCTATGATACCTTTCCATTTAATGAGCCGTTTTTCTAGCCACCCTGTGAAGGGGTCATTCACTCTTGAGTTTTTGGCTAACTCATTGGACAGGGCAGTTAGACCTTGCAATGCCTTCGTTGTACTTCCATCAGGGGGCGGTGTTGTTTGCGATGAAGGTACAACATTGAGTTTTAATCATGATGCAGACTCCTCCTCTTTCTGCTAATATTATGTCTAAGGCTATTCCATTTTCCCAAGCCATCTGGCTAGTAGGCCCTAATTGCTCAGCTATTCCTTTAACAGCATCTTTAGTGTAGTTAATAAACTGCTGTTGGTTGTAATAAATGTAATTTATCCAATCTATGTTTTTATTCATTGTCACCCACCAAAATATTGACTCAAATCCTGCAGCTATTTGATCTCTGGCTTTAAATTTATCTGGTACTCCTCATGGGACCCCAATTACATCTAAATAAATGCGAGAGTCAGAAGACACATAAAGGGCTTCCCTTGTTTTATGATGTTGTATTTTTCCTCTCTCTGGTTGGTGAAATGCCAGGGTGAAAGGGATAGCCTACTGGACTAGAGTACAAGTGCCACTCCAGTTACTTGGCAGAGAGTCCAGTAAAGGTCCACCACAATACCACCATACATCTGCTCAGGGATGAACAAGGGCTGCTGATTGGTAAGCTCTTGGAAAGTCTTAAGCTCATTGCATCCTTTCAGGTCTCCAAGAAACACCAAGTTTCCTCCCTGTCATGAGAGACAAGAAGTGAAATTAATGTGGGGAGATGGAAGCTGGATGGCCTTCAGGGGCTGACCTGCAGAGTGTTGAACTTTGGGATATAGCAGAGAGAGAACTTGACATGACTTGTTACCCCAGGCTGTGTAATCCTGGAAAAGAGCTACCATGCAGCCCATGCCTGGTCGACTGGAGGACCACCCTAGTGGAAAGGGGTCAATCTGGGCCTCTGGCCTGCCATGCACTCAAGCATAACAATTGCTTTTGTTTCACCTGCAGACGGAATATTTGATCCATTCCAACCAGGCATTTGCATCTTGATATCCTGTCTCTATTGCTAAAGTTTGTTTTAAATCATTTACTTCTACGGCGTCTACTTTGGTCCTATCATTAGATGGAGGAGTAACAACTATTTCATTGTGAGAGGTTTTGGAAGAAGGCTTAGGGGAAGGTGTAGGTGGTGGGGGATCAATGAAACATATTTCAAAGTATCTGATAGGGTCTGTTCCTGAAACCTCATCCCCCATACCATAAAAACCAGCTTAAAGAAGGGAACCAGCTTAGAGAAGGGGAAGATCTTTGAGGGTTTGGGGTAATAACCTGTATTGGATTGCACTGGTTTAGCTGACAGCTAGGTGAAGCTGTTCCTTTAGTAAAATGAATGTATGGCTTTAGGAAATTACAACTACTGGTTGAGGCAGTCCATCCTTGCTCTTTAGTGGTCCACAGAACGTTGGACCAACTGCAGCATAAAAGCTCTATGGGGGGCAAGACTCCCAGCTGATGCCGGGGTCCTCATTGAAATCTTCCCAGACTAAATGATCCCAATTCAATAATGTCCAGTCTGAGAAGAGCCGGGAAGGACAGAGGTACTTTTCTGAAGTGGAGAGCTGTCTTTGACTTAAAAAGTCTCCATAGGATGTAACAAGGCAAGCATCAAATTTAATAGTTTGAGGTGAAATTGACTTGGTTACATTAATAACTAGGTGGTCAGCAATAGAGTGAGGAAAGAAGAAGGAGTAACAGAATAGATGAAAGGAAGTTAAATTTTTCTTAGCTTTAGTTTGGTAGGGTTTTCCCCTGGGACTATGGCCCATGACTCTGGAGGGGGTGGCGCTTTCTTGACTCAGGTGTAACGGGTCCATCCTTTTTCTGCTATTCGGACTGCAGTTTCAGTAGTTAGGAGCATTAGGTAAGGTCCTTCCCAGGCCAGTTCCAGCTTTTCCTTCTCTCCAAATTTTGATGGGGACGTGGTCCCCAGGCTGATGTTGGTGTACTGGAAACTCAGAGGTGGCACCTGTGCTAAAAGACCTTTAGTTCTGAGGGAAGATAAAATGGAAGATAAACCAAGTATATAATTTCTGAGAAACTGATCTTTTGTTTCAAATGTAGGAAGATCAGTAGTAGAATGTAGATAAGGTGATCCATAAAGCATCTCTTAAGGGGATAGGCCTGTGTCTTTTGGGGGAGCAGTTCAGACTCTTAACAGGGTAATAGGCCTTTCTACTTTCCCTAATGAAGATGAGTGCCAGGGAGTATGATAATCCCATGTTACATCCAGTACCTGGGATAATTTCTTAATGACATGTGCCGTGAAATGAGTCCTGTTATCTGAATTAATGTTTTCTATTAATCTAAACCTGGGTATAATATTTTCAACTAATGCCTTGACTACATTATTAGCAGTTGTACTTGAAAAGGGAATAGCTTCTACCCAATGAGTAAGGTGATCTACTATTACTAATAAATATTTCAGACGACCAATTGGAGGCATCTGTGTGTAATCAATCTGGATACTTTGGAATGGCCTTAAGCCTGGACTCCTTCGCCCAAAGGGTAATCTTTTACTAAGCAACTGTCTGTAACCTGTTTGGCCAGGGTATAAATTCCTATGCACCCATAAACTCTGAGGACTGCATCACACATGGCTTGGGACCCACAATCGGTCCCTTGATGCAGTTGGAACAAGAACTCCCTTATAAGGGGCTTGGATAACATTTCTCTCTGGTCTAGCAATATCCATTTTCCTTCTAAATTCTCTTTAGCACCTATTTTTATTAGTTTTTAGACCAAAGAAAGCCAAACACCATTTTATATTTGACAATGCTTCCTGTATGATTTTATACCAGATAAGCTAAATTTCACCTTTATATTAGTGTGCCATTAATGTTAAACTCAATTTTAATAAAACCTTGTAGGCATATTTATCCAATTTTAATGTCTGACCATAAGGTAAGATTTTTATAGACTCTTTTTAAGCCTTTATAATTTTTGTTAAAGAACAGGTTAGTGCTTTAAGAAAAACCCATCGTGCTTTTATTTTAATGTCCAGTTTACAGAAAAACTGTACCAGTCAGCCTGAGCTCTTGTTATTTGAGTAACTTTGCAAGGAACTTGGGTACCCTCTTTAGTGAAAAACATAATATTCGGAGACATTTTTGCATACTAGGAATAGGAAAAAGTGTGTGAGAGGATAACCAGAGAATCATATTTTCTGGACAAGGCACACTGTACTCCAACTATAATACACAGTAAATGTACTACTATAAGCAGTAATACATTTAAAAAGTGTGCCATCTGGGTCAAAGAAACCAAAAAAACAAAACACCACAAAACCTGCGTAGGAAATCCATTCTGCTATTTTCTAGCTTTATAATATTGCACCGTATTCTTAATGCTTCTTTATCTTATTTTTATCAGATGTAAAATGAAAGGAATGAATATATCCTAGAGATATTTTAAAGCTTAAAAAGATGTAAAACTATTACTACATTTCTTGTTGTTCAATGTCAACTCAGTTGTAATTAGTACTAGTACCACAAGATATCATTTGTTTTATGCATAAAATTAGAATATGCAAAAATATTGTAAAATTTTGGAAGTGTTGTATTATTGTAAAAAGTTTTACTACGTTTTTATACTTACTTTTTTTCTTATACTTTTTTGTATTTAATTTTTTTCTTAAATGCTAATGCACATTTGTTTTCTTTTCATTTTGTTATTTCTTAAATAACTCGGAATGCTTTGGCTCAGAAACATGTTTTTCCCTTCACTAATAGGAATTATTGAATCCCTTTAGGAGACTCTAAAGACTGAGTCTGGAAAACAATTGGTTAACATTATACCAGACTGTGACTAGAACCCAGTAAAAAAATATAGAAATAGCCTTGAATGCTATAAAAGAGGAAAAGCCTAAAATAGCCTGTAGTGGTGAATCCCCAAAAGTCTTGGTCTTGTAAGTGATCAAGGAGGGGTAAATTTATGATGAAATCTAAGGTCTTGAAATAGGGTTCTGTCATTTTCAGAGCTTACTTGGGCAATTTAAAAATGAAACGTCAACTGAATTAAAAAGTCCACATAGAAAAAATTATAATATCTACCAAGTACTAATATAAAAATACTCTAAGAAGATAAGATCATAAAAATCTAGGGGGAAAATATTTTATACTAAGATTCAGACTCCTACTATCATGAAGATAGGTGGTAGAGAATTATAACTCATCTCTGGTTCCCCAGATTATTTTATCAGTATTAAACAGAAGTTAACATAGGCCAATACATAACACACCAGTAAATAATTTGTTCAGGTGGTTGTTTTTCATGAACAACATATATTAAGCAGCCACTGTGACGAAGGGTTTGTGAAAGTGTTGAAAGTAAATGCCTTCTGCTGGTTAGTCATGCCCTTTTACATTTTACTGTATCTTTCACACCATTCATAGACGTGTCTTCATGTGCTGTCAGATATATAGTGCAGTATAAAATGCATTCGTATCTAGATCTATCACATACTGTATATCACGTATCATATACTTATAAATAGATCTGTTATCTCTGTGGCTTGGAGATATGCACCTATCATTACTCCAAAGTTGGTGTGAGTGGTACTGTTTTCAAAGGGAGAGATAATAGTATAGTAACCAGTTATTTATAAGGCAATGTCATTTTCTCAATGTCATCAAAGTCTATATCTTAAGTTTTAAAATAAAGAATACAAAGTAGGAAATTTAAAAGATATACAATGGAGAAAGAATACTTAAAATCACTAAAGTTTATTTCATGAGTTTTTATTATCATTACAGTTTGCTTCGAATCAATCAACTGACCTTTCCCACAGGCCAAGTTGATTTGCTTTAAGATTACAGTGAATCCACTTGTAAGTGTATGGAGACAGGGCTAAAGTGGTAACAGTCTCATGAGTTTACTTTGTTTCTAGGAAAAGAACGTTTCTTATGACTACAGAAACCTGACCAAGCTTCTGATACCGACTCTTCAGTTTTGACATAGCTGCCTTCACTTCTTTGTTTCTTAGCATGTAGATTACAGGGTTTAAAATAGACGTGAAGATGGTGTAGAATACAGCAAGGACTTTGTCAACTGAGTAACTGCTGAAGGGCCACACATAGATGAAAATACACGATCCAAAGAATAAAGTGACCACAGTGATGTGAGCAGTCAATGTGGAGTGGGCCTTCACCATGCTTACAGAGGAGCGATTCCTAACTGTAACAAGTATTACAGTGTAGGAGACAACCAAGAGGAGAAAGGAACTCAGAGAAAGAAAGCCACTATCTGCAACTATTAGTAGGCTGACAACATAAGTGTCTATGCAGGCTAACTTCGTCGCTAGAGGAAGGTCACAGAAAAAAACTATCTACCTTATTAGGACCACAAAATGGCAGATTAACGTGAATGCCAACTGGCTGGTGGTATGGATGAAGCCCACAAACCAGGAAATGAGGACGAGCACAACACATACACAGCAGCTCATGATTGTCATGTAGTGGGGAGGTTTGCATATAGCAACATAACGGTCATAGGCCATGGAAACTAGGAGCACCATTTCACTGCCAGTGAAGAGATGAACAAAGAAAATCTGGGCCAGGTGGGCATCAAAAGAAATAGTCTTGTGCTCAACCAGAAAGTCTGCAATCATTTTAGGGGTAGCAGAAGAGGCAACACATACGTCTATAAATGACAGGTTTGCAAGCAGAAAGTACATGGGGGTGTGAAGGCGGGAATCTGAGGTCACAGTGAGGATGATGAGAAAGTTGCCCAACAGAATTGCTAGATAAAGTAGTGAAAATATAAGAAACAAGAAAGGTTGGAGCTCCCTTGAACTAGACAGTCCCAGCAACACAAATTCTGTCACCCAAGAATGATTTGTCTCATTCATTGAATTTTGGAAGGGACTTAATTTCAGCTACATGAATAGGAGAGAAACAGAGATCAGTTAATGAAGTGAGCATGGGTTTGGTTTTCCAGTTACACTTAAACTTTTCAGAATTCCAATTCCTATTCCTATGTATGTGTCTGGGTTTTCATGAGTTATTACAAGTTATACAGCTAAGTGTGGAAGATTGGGTTAAAGGGGAGAGTTGTCAAGGAGATGTTCAACCAACTGGGATATCTAAATACATTAATTTAAGAAATAAAATCGACAATTTAAAAATGAATTTGAGCATTTTTGTGACACTACAGAAATCCAGTCTAAAAGTCTACAGAGACAAAATCTAAACCAATTTTTCTAAAGTAAATGATAGTAAAAATTTTTTGAACATCTGCCACAGAGGAAGATAATTTCACAAACTTGATGACTAAAAAAGTTAGACACAAAAGAGTATACACTGTATTGGTCTATTTAAATGAAGTTCAAAAATGGCAAAACTAAGGTGTAGAAAAACCTCATAGCAGTTATCCTTAAGGGACAGGAAGTGGTCATGGGAGGGGTTTCTGAAGTGCTGGTAATATTCTTTCTTGATGTGGTTGATAGTTACATGGGAGTGTCTACTTTATGAAAACTTACTGAAATATGAACTTTTGCTTTTTTCTCTTTTCTATACATAAGTTGCATAATTATGAAAATTAAAATAGAAAGAGAGACAGCATTAGATTTGTGTAAGAGAGCTCACAGGAGAAATCATTGCCTTAAGTGATTATATCTTATTTCTTCTCTATAGTTAAACATTATGTAAACTAAAGTACAGAACCCTGGCAAAACTGAAAGGCCCCAATATTATTGGAACTCTTTTATGATTCAGCTTTTCATGGAGTTCTACTTTATCATGAAATCTAGCACACTGGTTCCTTTCAATTAATCCCTGAAGGTATGAAGCGTCTTTAAACTTAGCCATTGGTGTTACTAACCATAGACAGTTTATTGAGCTATGATTGATATTTCATTTGATGTGACGTGACTTAAAAACTTATAAGTTATATTGCTTACTATAAATACTAATATAACTAATAAGTTATATTACTTATTACTAAGGAAATCAGACCAGAAAAAAAAGATTTTTCTTTTCTACTCAGTTAGTCTATATTCTATGTTATCAGAACTTTCTTCCTTTTATGTTATTTTTATTTGTAGAAACTATTTAGAACTTAGAAAAGTTTTATGGTAAATAAGAAAAAATAAAATGTGAATTTTAAAGGAGCATTACATTATCTGATTTTGAAGAATCTTTCTCTACATCTTAACCAGGTCTTGGGAGAGGATGTCTTTTATTTTACTCATTTCTAACCACTTGCAATTTTTGATATTAATGTCTTCTTAGATCATAGCTGCAAATTGCTAAGTCTCTCTTTGGGTTAGACTGGAGGGTTTATTTATAAGAACAGAACGTGTGATAAATAATTTTAACTCCCAGAAACCAAATTTAGACTCACCTCTGTATTTCAAATCTCCAATTCTCCCAAAAAAATACAAATTTTCTCCCTTATTTGCAAATGATGTGTTCCAAGACCTCCAGTGGATGCTTGAAACCACTGATAGTACTGATTCCTATATAAGCTATATTTTTCCTATACATGCATACCTAAGATAAAGTTTAATTTATAAATTGGGCACAGTGAGAGATGAACAGTAATAACTAACAATAAAATAAAAAAGTATAACAAGATACTGAAATAGCATTTATGTGAATGTGTTTCTTTTTTTCCTCTCTCTCGCTCTCAAAATAGGTTAATATTTTTGGACCACAGTTGACCTGAGGTAACTGAAACTGCTGAAAACAAAACCATGGATAAGGGAGAACTCTTGTATTATCACAGATTATATCAAAACTATGGCTCTAGGCTTGTTAGAAGAGTTTAACAAGTGGAGCTTGAAGGTAAAGCAGGCTACCGAAAAAAATTATACAAATCTCTCTTTCTTCTCACTTCCCAGAAGTCCTGACCCTTCAATCCTGTGACGTAAATACTGCATTGAATCCCTAAGGCATGAATAGAAGTAAAATCTAACAAAATCAGCGAATAGGAGTTCATAGGTACTCCATCAGAAAGAGAAAAGCCATAAGCACAAGGAATGAGTGTCCTATGGAGACCCTCCGGGTGCTGCAGCAGAGAGGGGCATCAGGAGGCATTTCTGAGCACAGAAACTTCCTGGTGTCTTTAGGCTAAGACACATAATCCAACTGTGTGAACGACAGTCATAAGAATCATCCTCCCGATAGCTTTTCTGACTCTTCTGCAGAGCTCTATTGTTCCATTTTCATTGGCTTCTTCAGGTGCTCAGAAAAAGAAAAGACCCTGTTTTTCATGGAGAAAACATTGGGCAAATTGATTCAATCAAGAACTTTCTTAGTATATAAGATGAAAGTGGTGGAACACATGAACTCTGAACCTGTTTCTTACCTAAATCCATTCTTTTTTGGTTCATTTACTTTATATAAATTTAAATGCCTGCTTTTCCCCAGGCACTGTGCTGTGCACTGGTGATGAGGCAGTTAGGTTTATAACTTGTCTCCCTAAAAATTATTTGCTAATATTAATAACCCTTTCCTTATTTAGACAAGCTGACGAATTCACTTCCCTTTACCCCTAGTACATTCCCTATTAGATAAAATGGACTGTATTTTTGTTCCCAATAAAATCGCTGTACTGTAGTGAAAACAAAGCTATTATTTTAAAATGTTCTATGTTGTATCATTGGGTAACTGTGTGACGCTGAGCAGTTCCTTTAGCCATTCAGGGATTATTATCATCAAATATTAAATCTTGAGACTATTAACCTCAAAGAGACACTAAAAATATTTCTTAAAAGATTATATAAATGAAAATTCTTTAACCAACTGTAGTGACTAAGTATATGTATGCATTCTTAATAATGTATTATTTTAGATCAGAAGAAGTATTTTCTCATAATTTTACATTATGTGGTCTGACTCACACAAGAATGAGTTTCCAATAAGTAGATGTTTTATGTAAAGACGTTTTTTTAAAAAAATTCTTGAAAATTTGAAGATGGATTAATGCATGTATACAGGGCTGTGCTCAGCAAATATCAGTTCCCTCCTATTTTAAATTCTGTCAAATGAATCTTGCCTCAATATTTCTATCTCAGACATTATGACTGATAGATGAAGTGAAATAAATAGGTATCGTTTACAGGGGCCACCAAACTCTACAAGTTCAAATAGGTATCTTTCACAAACTTGCCAATATTGCTGTTCCCCTGACCCCCCTCCCACTCCAAATGCAGATCAGAGAAATAGCAGTCTCTCTATTATAGACTATATTGGAGACAAATGCTGGTGCATGGTCTTCAGAAGGATGCTGACAAAACACTTTTACTTACCTAAGATGAAATGGAAAGTGTGGAGCTATCCTATAATCTATAGTTGTTAATGCTTGGGAAGAATTTCGTTGTTACTTCCACATCTCCTAAGAAAACAGAACAATCCCTCAGGAGATAAGTCATAAAGAATTCACTTCTAAACAAGACAGAAGTGGATTCAGGGTGTCTGTAGCTGAGTTGTTTTCAAGGAGGTGAGACAGGTCTGGATGCTGTATCTTAATCTAAGTCTTAGGCAACTAGAGGAGCATTTGGAGCAGTCGGGAATCTGAAAGGAGAAAAAGAGTAGACTGAAAAGAAGAAATGCTGAAAACAAAATCTTCTGCTTCACAATTTTGCAAAGGATTCAGCCTCACTGGATCTATAAAACTGGAGAATGTTTTAGGAAGTACCATCAATAATAGTGATTTTTATATGATTTGGGATCTGTAAAGACTCTGAAGTAGTAAGATATTGCATTATTTTATCAAAAATTTCATCAGGGAAGATTTAGGGTTTTCTTCCTTTCATCTGACTTTCCCTTGATTCAAAGTGTAGGTGACTTTTTACTTGCTTCTGACAGATATATATAATCATTATATAACTAAATCAAACATCTTGTGCAGTAGTGATATAATGAATTTACCATAATAGTAATATTTTAAAATATATTTTAAGGAATTATATATGGGATATGCTTTTGTTCACAAATAGAATATATATCCAGCAAGAAATGTTAAATTTCATTAGTGGTTTATATTACTACTTTCTAGTCATAGATTAACAAGGACCATTCTAAACTATAAGCTTTAAAAACCTGAAGTTCAAATCAATGGATGCTGGCCAAAGACATTATGGACTATCAAAAATGTATTAGCCATCTTGAGTACAATGTACACTACTTGTGTTTGTGGGTGATAGGTGAACTAAAAATCTTATACTTCACTACTATATAATTTATCAGTGTAACCAAAAACTGCTTGTATCCTAAAAGTTATTGAGATAAAAGAATATATTAATTTTTAAAAATTAAATACATGTATTAGCCTAGGATATAGAAAATATATTTTCCAATTCTATCTTTCACTCAATAACTTTATAGTTGTAAGCAAATTACATACCCTCCCAGGTGCTCTGTGTTTCCTCAAAAAAAGAGTAGAATTCCCTCTCCCAAATGCAGTCTCCGGTTTTTGAAAAACATGATCCAAAATGAGTAAGTCAATTCAAAGATAAGAATAATTATAAAATATTATATTGAAATTAAGGTATATCCAATCAAAAGTGTAAAACACCTGGTTTTAGTAAAGTGATGGCAGCAGTCACTCTTCAGAGTTAGGTATTGGGACAATGGTAAATAGGTAAAATGGGTGTAGAATATTCAAAGATTAATTTAAAACAATACGGAGGATAACTGACTGTCTCTGGTCTCTGTTCTGTTCTGACTCAATCTCTGTCCCTGGCCTTAAAATATCAGCACCAACCCAGGAAAACAAAATTCACCAGGAGCCATTGGATGAGGGACAAAGATAGAGAACCCATGTCTTTCCAGACTTCAGTCTTCACCTTTTACACTCTGCAGTATCAGTATACTCAGCACACTGATATAAGAAAAGCCATCACGATTATTACAAGCTAATTAGGAATTTGTCGTCACTGGACTGTAGTGACCAAGAGACCCAGAGGAGAGTTGTGATAGCAGAAATACCTTTAATCAGGGATAATTACGTGAGACAATTTGTTTGCCCACAATAATTATGGTGCATCACCTTGAGGATTTCACAAATGGAAGAAGCAGCAGGCCTAATGGAAATGCTTTGTTCTGTAAGAGATGTAACACTTTTTTTAAAAAGCAATGAGTAATTTTGTTAGCTAATTCTTTATGTTTCCGAAGAGCTTTAGAAAAGCACTATTGGGCGTGTCAAAAATTGATGGGGAGTCATCATGTGACTGTGCATATTACACGGCAAACACCTTGGCATTTTGACAGCTTCACAAGAGCCATGTGCTTGGTTTCTAGGGCAAGTATTTTAGAGTAAAAAAGTGAAAGCTGCTTTATTAATACAATAGAGATACTGTATCCTACAGAGTAGATTCTAGTAAAGAGACTCCAAATAATTTTGCAAACATTTATACTTCTGAGTTCAAATAAAGAATTTGAGCATTAATGGGACTCTAGGTTCATAGTACAAAACTCAAGACTCTAGTACCATACAGTCTAGATGTGTCATGATCAAAACTCCCCTGTGCACCCCTTTACAGATAACCACTTCCCCTCCTCAAACACCTGGAAACCATTCTTCTGTTTTCCGTGCCCACAGATGTGCCTTTTCCAGAACATGAGACAAATGAAATTGTACAAAGTGTAGCCTTTTCAACTGTCTTCTTTCATTTAGCAATATACATTCAAGATTCATTCTTGTTGTTGCATGGATTAATAGCTCTTTCTTTGTTATATGGAATAGTATCCCATTGTATTTCCACCACAGTTGGTGTATCCATTTGTATATTGAAGGACTTCTTGGTTGCTTTTTCTCTGTTTTTGGTGATTATGAATAAAACTGCTATAAACATTTTTTGTAGGTTTTTATGTTTATGTTATTTTTCAAGTCAGGTGGAGGATTTGATTTGATAAGAAATATTTGATTCTATCTATTTTAAACTCTGAAATTAGGTGCAAACAGATTAGGATTGGTGTGTCTTCATGATTGATTAAGCCCCTTCTCATATGACATGCTTCTCTTTACTTTTGATTATATTTTTTCTTCTGAAATCTACAGAGTCAGATATTGATGTGACTGCTTTCGCTCCTTTATAATTACTATTTGCATTGTATTGTATATCTTTGTTCATCTTTTTATGTTTTAAGTAGTCTGTGCCTTTATATTTAAAGTGGATTCAAGGTAGGCAGCAAATAGTTGGCTCTTGCTTGTATTGTTCATTCTAGCAATGTCTGCCTTTTAGTAGACTTCTTATACTATTTACATATAATGTAAATGATATGTTGGGTTTATATCTACTACCTTGCTACTTTTTTTTAATTTGGGACTTCCTTTACTTTCCGTTTTTGTGGTAGAATAATATCAACCATGATATGTCTTGCTTTTGTTTGACTTACAAAGTCTTCATTTCACTTTCATTTTGAAGGATATTTTTCATACTTAAATGATTGTGTTGACTCTGTTGTTTTCATTCAGTTTTTTTAACAATTCGAATCCTGTTTTATAATAAGCATTCAGTTATTCAAATCCTGGTTTTTCAGTATATGGTTGTTCTTTTATCCATGGCTACTGTAAGATATTTTCTGTATGACAAGTTTCCCATATGAATTGTGATATGTCTTCTTGTGATTTTCTTTTGATTTATCTCGCTTGAGGTTGGTAGAACTTCTTGACTTTTTTTATTATAACTTTCAATCAAATTCAGAACATTTTGGTCCCCATTTTATCCTTTCCTCTGGAACTCCAGTTACATACGTGTTAGGCCAGTTGGCATTCTCTTGCATATTGCTGGGACTCTGTTCAGTTTTTCCTTTCACATTTTTGTCTCTGTACTTTGGTTTAGAGATTTTCTATTGCTGTGTCTTCTAGTTTACTGATAATTTCCTTTGTGGTGCCTAACATTTTTCACCTCACAAAATCTTGATGTTGTTAATATATTCCATTCCTCTCTTCATTCTGTTTATATTTTTTATTTATATACTTGAGCATATTTATGACAGCTCTCTTAAAGTTATTTTATCCTAATTTCCACATCTTGGTAATTTCTGAGCTTATTTGAATCAGTTTCCAATTCTACTCATTACGATGTATATTTTTATGCTTTATTACATTTATCAATGGTGGACACTAAAAATATTTCTGAGTGCTGGATTCTTTTTTTATTCAAAAGTAGTAGTCTTTGTTCAGTCGCAAATTTACTTGTGGGCTAGGCTAATTATGTCATTTTATTTTTAAATATTTTAAGATGGGTTTAGAGTAGGCTTCTCTAAGCTACTTTAACCTTAGTATTAAGGAAGTATCTGGTATTTAAGGAATTGCCCAGGGTCGACTAGGGTCTTGGGTATTTTTATTTTATTTTATTTTATATTTTATTTTATTTTATATTTTATTTTATTTTATTTTATATGTTATGTTATGTTGTTATGTTATGTTATGTTATGTTATGTTATGTTATGTTATGTTATGCTATGTTATGTTATTTTTTATTGAGATGGAGTTTTCACTCTTGTTGCCCAGGCTGGAGTGCAATGGCATGATCTCGGCTGACCGCAACCTCCACCTCCCAGGTTCAACCCATTCTCCTGCCTCAGCCTCCCAAGTAGCTGGGATTACAGGCATCCGCCACCAAGCCTGGCTAATTTTGTATTTTTAGTAGAGATGGGGTTTCTTTATGTTGGTCATGCTGGTCTCGAACTCCCGATCTCAGGTAATCCACCCGCCTCGGCCTCCCAAAGTGCTAGGATTATAGGCATGAGCCACCGCACCCGTCCAGTCTTGGGTATTTTTAAAAGACTGTCTTCTCTGGCTGATCAGACATCATACGTCTCCTGAGTAAACTCACACAGTTCAGCTTATAGCTCTACAAAATTTTTCCTTGATTTTAGAAGATTTAGCCTTTGTGTATTCATCTTACTATTCAATAACAACTCAAGTGGGCCCCATAGAAACTTCTGGAGAGTTTTTCTGTTTTGTTGTTGTTGTTGTTGTTGTTGTTGTTGTCCTGGATGTAGATTTTGGCCATTGCCAGCTCTCTGAACTCCATTTTCTGTTTCTAACTCATCAGGTCAACTGTACTCTGCTTTGAATTGCCTTTGCTGCCCTGAAATGTAGAAAGTACCTCCAAGGAGGAAACTAGGTTGATCATAATATTAATCTTATATTTTATTCCCTCAAGGATCTTAGTCTTGTGTTGCATGTAGACTAATGCTTAAACACAATGTAGTGGTATATTTTATCCAGTTTTCTTGTTGATTATGAAGGGAAATTAAATCCAGTAGTACCTCATGGCTGGAAGTGGAAGTTCATACTGTCTTCTTTTAAAGAAAAAAATCATGAATATTGTTTACTTCTCTTTTAAAATGATTTATAATTCATTTACCATGAAATTTATCCTTTTAAAGTGTACAATTCAGTAAATTTTATCATGTTAACAAGGTTATGCAGCTATCACTACTGTCTAACTCTAAAACATTTTACACAACCCCAAAAGAAACCCTGCAACCATTAGCATTTACTTCCCATTCTCCCTAAATGCAGCCTTTGGATACCATTAAACTATTTTCTGACTCTTTGGAATTGCCTATTCTGGACATTTCTAATAAGTGATATGACATAATAATAATGTGTCTGGCTTCCTTAACTTGGCATATTGTTTTTAAGTTTCATCCATGTTATGGCATGTATGAATACTGTATTCCCTCTTATAGCTATGTAATATTCCATTGTAAGGATATAGAAATTTTGTTTATTCATTCATCAGTTGATGGGAATTTAGGTTGTTTTCAGTTTTGATTGTCGATAGTACTGCTGCTATGAATACTTGTGTACAAGTTTTTGGATAAACATCTTATTTCTCTGAAATGAAATAAAAACCTATGAACTCTGACTAGAATTGGAATTTCTGGGGCATATGTTTCACTTTTTGGGGAACTACCAAACAGATTTCCAGAGTGGCTATACCAATTTACATTCTTACAAGCAATAGATGAGGAATTTAATTTCTTGACAATTTTGACAGCATTTGTTATCTTCCATTTTTTAAATTACTTACAGCTATCCTAATGGTTGTGAATTGGTATATCATTGTAGTTTAAATTTGCATTTTATTAATGACTAATGATGTTGAGCAATATTATGTGGTTAAGGTTATGTGCATGTCTTGTTTGGAGAAAAGTCTATTCAAATCCATTGCCCATTTTTAAGTAGGTTATTTGTCTTTAGTTATTTTTGAGAGTTCTTTATATATTCTGGATACGAGACCCATGTCAGATATAACTTCACAATTTTTTTTTTCATTTGGTGAGTTTTCTTTGAACTTTCTAGATTGTGTCATTTAAACCTCAACAGTTTTTAATTTTGATAAAATTAAATATCTATTTTTCTTTGGTTACTTGTGTTTCAGGTGTCAAATCAGAGAAATTATTGCCTAATCCAAAGTCACAAAGATTTACGTATGTTTTGGTATGCTGTGTTTTCATTTTCATTTTAAAGCATTTTATAATTTGCCTTGTAATTCTTTCTTTGGTCCAATGGATATTAGGAATATGTTGTTGAACTTCCACTATTTGTTAATTTTTCAAGTTTTATTGTGTTATTGATCTCTAATTTGATTCCATTGTAATCAGAAAACATAGTTTGCATGATTCTAATCCTTTTAAATTTAGTGAGACTTGGTTTAGGGCCTAATACATGGTCTATCCTGGAGAATGTTCTATGTGCACTTGAGGAAATTGTATTCTACTGTTGTTTGGTGGAGTGTTTTATAAATACATTAAGTCTAGGTGACTTACAGAGTTTTTCAAGTCTTTTATTTCCTTGCTGAACACTATCTTAGTGTTCTACTTAAAAGTACTAAAATTTTTGTCTATTATTGTGAAACTGTCTATTTCTCCCTTGAATTACGTAAGTTTTTTTCTTTATGTATTTTAGGGCTCTGTTGCCATTTAATGAAATAAATAAACACATACACACGTGTACAAAATTGTTTAATCTTCTTGATGGGTTTATGCTTGTATCATTACACAATGTCCTTCTCTCTCTATTAAACTATCACAAGGACGAAAAACCAAATACCGCATGTTCTCACTCATAGGTGGGAATTGAACAATGAGAACACATGGACACAGGAAGGGGAACATCACACACCGGGGCCTGTTGTGGGGTGGGGGGAGGGGGGAGGGATAGCATTAGGAGATATACCTAATGTTAAATGATGAGTTAACCATCATTTAACATTGGTGTGTGCCATGCAGCACACCAACATGGCACATGTATACATATTTAACCTGCACGTTGTGCACATGTACCCTAAAACTGAAAGTATTATATATATATGTGTATATATATATATATGTATATATATATATATGTAAAGATGTTTTGTTATAAAGTCCATTTTATCTGATGTTGATATATCCACTCCAACTCTCTTTTGCTTATGGCTGTTGGCATACTGTATATTTTTTTCATGAATCTTCTGTCAACCTATTTGTATGTTTGAATCAAAAGTGAGTTTTTTATAGGCGTCATATAGATAAGTCATGTTTTCAATCCATTCTGCTTATATCTGCCTTTTAATTGAAGTATTTAATCTATTTACATTTAGTCATTAATAATAAGGTAGGGCATCCGCTACTCTGTTATTTGTTTCTATATGTCTTGTATCTTTTCTGTTTCTCTTTCTTATTATAGTCTTCTTTCATGTTAAACATATGTTTGCTAGTATATTGTTTTAATTATCTTGTATTAGTGGTTTCCCTGGGGCTTAGAATTATCACCTTAACTTATAACAATCAAGTTTGGATTAATATCTATTTAATTTCAATAATATTTTTAAAACTTTGCTTCCTTATAGCTCTGTTTTTACCCTTTCTCCGGGCTGTTATTGTCATACAAATTACATCTTTATACATGTTGTGCTGAACAACAAGTCGATTTGTAGGTGTTTCTTTGTGAAGTTATCCTCTAAATCAGGTAGGAGAAAAAAGTATTACAAATAAAATACGTATTTATGTATTTTACATTTACATATGCATTTACCTTTATTAGTCCTCTTTATTTCTTCATATGTATTCAAGTTACTGTCTAGGACTTTTACTTCAACCTAACGGGCTCTTTTTAGTATTTACTGTTAAGAACCAAACTACTTTTCTTTAATAAATGTTCCCTGGGTTGCTGTAAGCCTTTCCTTAATCTCCGGGATATGGAAACAGTGGCTCTGTAAATTTTTGTCAATTTTTCATTTCTTTATGGAAGAGGGATTTTAGATTAGCTCCTTACTTTATCATTTTTGGTGGCATAACACTCTATTTTGTAGGGTGTTTTTTCTTTTACCATTTTTACTGGATATATATTCAGTAGAAAATAAATCATTCTACCAAAAACACACATGGACTTGTATGCTCATTACTGCACTATTCCCAATAGCAAAGACATGGAATCAACCCAGATGTCCATCAGTGGTATAATAGTTTGGATTTATAAAAATGGTAAATATACACCATGGAATACTATGCAGCTATAAAAAAGAATAAAATAATGTTGTTTGCAGCAACATGGGTAGAGCTGAAGGCCATAATCCTAAGCAAATTAACTCAGGAACAGAAAACCAAGTACTGCATGTTCTTACTTATTACTAGGAGTTAAACATTGAGCTCATACAAATATAAATATGGTAACAATAGACACTGTGGACTACTAGAGGGTGAAAAGGGAGCTTGGTTTAAAAACCACCTATCAGGTACTATGCTCACTACCTGTGAGATCCATACTCAGTATGTGAGGTTTAGAGTATGGATCCCATCGTATGTGTGAGCATCACACAAGATTCCCCTGTAACAAATCTACACATTTATCCCCTGTATCTAAAATAAAAGTTGAAAAGGAAAAAAAATTTCCAGGGATTTTGATGATCAGATGAATCTGATAACCACTCAACTAGTTGGCCTCTAAAGTCCTTTTGAATTAGATGTGCTGTAAACCTCACCTCCTCACCTCATGTGCTGTGAACCTCACCTCCTTCTACTTTATGTTTACATTTTTGGCTTTTTTGTTAAAATTATTTTTGCCTTCAGCGTTGATATTTCAAATAAGGGGAGTAGATCACAGTGTCATTCCTAGATAGCATTGTGTGCTTATGGCTGATATTAAACTTTTCAGCCATATATACTTTTTATATTCTTTATGAAAATTTTCTTTACAACAATAATTATTATTTTTAAACAGCTTTTGCACCTATTGAAGTAACTATATATATATTATATATACAGTTTTTCTTTTATTCTGTTAATACAGTGAATTGTATTAAATTATTATCAAATGTTCATTCAGTTCATCAACATTGCATTGCTGTGTGATCTCAAATGGATGCTATTTTATTATTCTGTTTTCCTGAATTTGTATTGCTCTTTGTTTAAAGGAATTTTGTATTTTTGTTTTTGAGCGAGATTGGCCTATAATTTTTCCTTCTTATATGACCCTTTTCAAATTTTGAAGTCAGAATTATTCTAGCTCATTATGTGAGTGGAGCAGCGTTTTCTCAGAACGAGGAAACAATGTCAGTCTGTTTCAGATGACACTTTATTAATTTTTTAATTTTAATTTTCAGTTTTTGTGGGTAGATAGTAGGTGTTCAGATGACACTCTTGCACTGAGAAAATCAACAGTTTATTTTCTCCTTATGACTTGCTTTACCCATTTCTTCATGAGGCTATATTTTCTACAGTTCATCATTTCCAATGTACATATATATATATATATATATATATATATATATATATATATGCATTTAATTTTATGTTACAGAATTAGGGAAGAAATTATTCAAGATAGACTCCTAGAAATACAATTATCAGCTCATGAATATGGACATAATTTGATAAATACAGCAAATTGCTTTCTAAAAGTTGTTCAGTAATTTTTGACCAAATAGAGCTTCCATGTTTTCAAATTTTCTGTCTTATTTAGTAATATCCTTTTGTTTTACTCTTTATTAATCTAATAGGGGTCCATTTTTATTATCTGTTAGATCCATTTTTTTGCTACGTTTGTTTTCTATTTGTATATCTTTAGAAAATATTCTCATAATATTCGACTCACAAAACTTTATAGGTAATAAAATAAGTCTGACAGAGAGGGTTAAGTTCTAAAAACATGTATAATGGGTAAGAGAACATATGCGAATGTATGATGAGATTGATTTAGTTATCTTGCAGTGATATGTAACCAGGATAAGGATAATGATTACCTTATTATCCTTACAATACTATAAAGTAGATATTATTATAATCCTAACTTTGTGTTAGAAGCAGCTACAATTTAGTGCTAAAGTTAGCGTCACAAGGCACACTGGTAGTCTGAAGGTTTGAATGCACAAAGAACATACGTTTAACTGCTATATATTGCTTAAATAAGGATCTGATTGCGGAAAACCTCTATCTAAGGATGTCTACCTGGTCTTTAAAATAAATTTTTATTAGTATTATTATTATTTTAAGAGACAGGGTCTTGCTCTATCACTCAGGCTGTAGTGCAACTATGTGATCATGGCTCACGGCAGCCTTGACCTCCTGGCCTCAAGTGATCCTCCTACCTCTAAAATAACAAAGTTGTGCCCAATGATATTCTCTGCTCTTTCTGAAGTATACATCAGCATGCTCACTTTTATCTTGCTACTTCAATCCCATGCTTGTGTTAGCAGTAACAATAATCAGCAATAATTCACTATTTTGTTTTATATTAGGCTCTCACACCCAAACCCCAAGTCCTCATGCTCAAAAACCCAGGTTGCCTTGATTTGGTAATAACTTTAGCCCAGAATCCCTTTATCTCTCTGAGTGGCAACATGTATAGTAGCTTTTAAGCTTGATGCGATTAAATTCCACATACCAATTTTGAGATAAATCTCAGGAAAGTAACAAAAGGGTGAAGAGGAGAAGTTTCCAAAACTTTTTAAAAAATAATTTAAAAAAGGGAATCACAGGAGCCTATAAAGGAACTATTTAAATATCATGATACTCCCCAAAGTCTCAGATAGGCAATCTCATGAATTGCAAAAGCCAATTAAAAAACAAACTTCGTTAAGTGAATTCATCTTGCTATGGTAGTTATTAACACTATTTTGGTTGCTTCTCCCCCATATCAAGATGGTAAGAACTTTTAAATTGTTTGCCCATAATTGCAAATGAGAACATATGTCATGAGACAGAAATGTAGTGACCTCAAAGTTTGCAGCAACTACATTTACCCTCATTTAATGTTCTGCCTCTATGCTTTCTTTGTCCTTATCTAAAGTGACGGTGCCAGTAAGCACTAGCACACATGCACAGGGCCTGAAGAAAACTAGATCCAAAGAAATGCAAATCCAGCAATGGGTCTAAGAAAATTAGAATTTTGTTTTCTCTAATCTTATACTTCTTCCTTTTCTTGAAAATTTTTATGTCAAGGTTTTCAAATTCCATACAACACAATATTTTGCCAAAATTATCCAATATTTTAATTATCACTACGCAGTACTTGACCATACAACAGACATAAGTGGGTAAAACTGCCCAGATATAAAAATAGCTTGCTTTGGGATGTTATGGAAACATATCCCATTAGAGCTGTAGAAAGACTTAGGAAATCTACAGAGAAGAGCAGGCGACAAAGACAAAAGTAAATGTTGTGGCACAGAGTGAGTGCCCAGGAAATTTGATGAGCTTAATTGAGGAAAGGAGCCCAATCGTTAGCCCAGACTGATAGACCACGTTTCTTCTTCACATCTTCTGTTTAATTTTCACAGGCATTTCAGTTCTTCTGTTTCCAAATCTAGTCCTCCTTTAGTCTCCCTTAACCCAGGTAACGGCATTTGTATTCCCGCAGTGGCTTCAACCAGAAACTTCGCTCCTTCCATTTTCTCACTCCCACTTCCATCAAAGCTTTCTATTACAATTTCCCTTGTCTAAACCTTCCCTTTCTTTCTCCTTAAATGTTTCGAAGGGCTTCTAGTAATCTCCAGCTCTCTGCACTGATTTTTTTTCCAGTCAATTTCTCCTGAATGCTCAGAGCAGTCTTTAAAAATAAGATAAATCATTAAAAATAAGATAAATAAGTCAAACAACTTTAAAATGATAAACATGCAGTCATTCCTCTGTATGCATGGGTTCTGTGTCTATGGATTCAATCAATCACAGATCAAAAGTATTTAGAAAAAAACAATTCCACAAATCTTCAAAATCAAAACTGAAATTTGCAACACACCAAGTACTACATTGAATTCACTTAAACGAAGTGATATGTAGACATTGTATTAGATATTATAAGTAATTTAGAGATGATTTAAAAGTATACGGGAGAATGTGCATAAGTTATATGCAAATGCTACACCACTTTATACCAGGGACTGAAGCATCCATGGGTTTTGGTATCTGCGGGGATCTTGGAACCAATTCCCCATAGACACCAAGGGACCATCATAGTCCCCATTGCTCTAGAAATATAATCCAGTCTCCATAATGAGCCCTTGATATCCTGTATTTTACATATTAACCTTCAGCTTCATCTCTTCTCACTCATTGGTCATTCACTAAATTCCTGCTTTCATTTTCTGAAACACATAATCCATTTCCACTTCAGGGAGTTTCCATTTCTCTCTTGTCTGCCTGAATATTGTTTCCTTCGGCTCTTCTATTGTATATCCTTCTCACTGGAACTAAATAAAAGATTATTCATTACACAGAGCAGAGAGAGGCTTTTTCTGAGCACCATTCCACCCTCTTCACTCCTTTGTTTTTTCTCATCTCACATTATTTACTACCTTCATAACACTCATTAAACTTTTAATTTGCTCGTTTGATTTTCTTACATGTTTTTGTTTCTCTCTCCTTCCTGCATCTCCACTCCAAGACTGTGGGACTCGTGGGGAAAAACTGAGTGTCTTAGGATCACTATCATCACCCCAACACCTGGCCCAGAACCTAGCAAATAGTAGATGCCCACAGAATATTATTGATTCACTGAATAAATGAGTGTACAAGCGGCTGCGAGGTGGTTACTTTTTACCTCTCAAAAATACCATAAAACTCTTTTTTTAAAAAATGAGAATGTTATAATGGGGTCATACATATGTTTTTATTGACACTGGCTTCTTTTACTCAACATAATGCCTTTGAGATTCACCCCAGTTACTCTGTGAATCAATCGTTGGTTCCTTTAAATTCATGAGTGGTATTCTGCACTGACTCTGGACTTGGCCATGTGTCTTGTTCTGCTGAAAGGAATAATAGCACAAGAGAGTTTTGCATTGGGACTGCCCTCTATTGTTACTATTGGAATACTGAGGCCACCATGGAATTGAGCCTAAGCCAGTCTTTTGGAAGACAAGAAGCAATGATGTCCTGGTAAATGTTTAGGAGCTGTTTCTTGGGGTAAAGGGGGCAGAGAAGGCTCTGATATGTAGTATTTTCCAATGTCTATGGTACAAATACTCCCACTATGGCAGATTTCAAGCCACCAAGTGTATAATAACTACCTCACAAAACCCCTGATAATGTAAAACAAGCTCTCATTCAGGTATAAGTCAGCTCCAGCTGATGGCAGATGAGAGACCACGTGGAGAGAATTTGGGGCCTGGCTGACAGTAAACTAGCTCATGTTGCTAACCTGGAGGCTACCAGACATATGAGGGTGGTCAGTATAGATTGTCCAGCTCACCCAGACTTACCAGATATCCTAGTAGAAATCAAACATCTTGGCCCAGACAAGAAAAGGTACTCATGTGGTTTGTGAACAAATATAAAATGGTTCCTAGTTTAATTCAATAAATTTTGAGGTGGCTTAATATGGAGCAAAATCTAATGAATACAATTGGCTATCATTTCATTCCATATCACCTATGGGTATCTTGAATATTATAAATAAACAGATGATAAGCAATTTCTGAAAAAAATGAGTCTGCAAGGCACCACCAAAAGTAGTAAAATTTTTGTTTTACTGAGATAAGTGGCTACGTTGTTGTCATATTGTTAGTGTACCGCTAGGTTCATGTGGAACTTGAATCTTTTTTAAAACAGTGAAAATATAGGTTGTAATACCAGGAGTAAAAATAAACTGTCGACGCTAGCATCCCATCCTAGTTGATGTTACATTTTTTTCTTTTCATTATATGTTGTTGTGACTATTGTTATAGAAAATTTGACACAAGTTTCCTCTAGTAAACTGTATGTTAATACTAGTGGTCAGTGTTGAGAACCAGACCCAAAACTGAAACCAAATATTTGAAATGCAAAGATTTAGAGATGTTCTGCTCCTTTTCTTTTAAGAAAAAACAGAATTTAAATCATCCTGGTGGCACAATAGGAGCTGAGCTAATTTTTTAAATTGAATTTTAATGCCAGATAATTTGCATAGAAATGAACCGAAATAGACCACTCAGAATTAGGTCCCTTCTTGTACAGTTGGACAGTAAGGAGATTTAGCCATTATGGACCTATGTAATGTTAGGGGGAAGGAAGCACAGAAAACAGTCTTGATGATCATTCTCACACCCTAGAACAAGATATTTGGATTTTCTTCTTGACATGGGCTCTTAGGATATGTATATATGTACTGTATAAATTCATTTCTTACTTTGTAAAACCAAACCCATCCCCATTAGTATGAATTCCTTCAACTTTCTCTCTTAAGTATCTAACTTTCTTAACACATCGCCTCCCAACTATAAATTCATCTCTTCCCATTTATACCCTAAATTCTTGAAATCAACTACTACATCATGTCGGTTGTCCCCAGGTCATCATTTCCCATTGATTTCTCTTGAAGTTTTCTTTAGTTGTTTGTTTCATTCTCCACCCTTTTCTATTCTAGGCCCCTGTTGGCTCATTATCATGGCTACATTATCTGGGCTTTTCTGCCTCTAGCCTTTATTGAGATTGGAGAATAAAAGGAGCTGGCAGGAGATTAGAGGGAAAAAGGAGAGAAAGGTCTGGATTTTACTCAGTTTCTCCTCCCTGCCACTTCACTAGAATTCTTCTAGTAATCTATCCTTGAGTATTTATACCTTGTAGGTCCCTTTATGGCTCTAGCTCTCAACAATTTCTAACCCTCTACTTGTCTCTCCAGGCCAAGAGTAATAAAGCTTCCTGCTGGTTCTGGTGGTAGGATGCCTCATTTAATCCTGCCAAGATTTTTATAGATAGTTGATTCTCATATTATGTTGAAAACCTTTGCCAAATAGGTTTTATGTTTTCTTCTGTGGCCTTGACTAATACACTTCTTGACCCATTGTAATGGGTCTGCTTCTTGCTCAACACTTACAAAAATGTGACCCACCAAGCTATTTCACTAAATAAATGGCTTCTGGTTTTAGGGGGAATTTTGTCATTCTCCTGTGAGAAGGTGTTAAAGGTACTTTTTTTTTTAATAGCATGCTTTTTTTTTCTGTATATTTTTCTATATATTCAATTACCTACTGAGCATCTCCACTTGTTTTCATATGCACACTTCAAATTCATTATGGACAATATTCAACTTATCTTTCCCTTATGTAACAATTCATAAAGACATTTTTTAAATGAATGAACTCCTGGAGTTGTGTATTGTCTTGCTAGCTCCTCAAGCAAGAAAATTTTACACCAATTTTGTTTCTCCCTTACAGTCAAATGTAGTCAAGTAATAGGCATTATCTATATAAACTTTACTTCTGAGTCTGTTCAATTCTATTTTACTATGATCTTCAACTAGCCCAACTTCATTACACACTGGATTGATGCAATAGGTGTCATCAACTTATCTCATTATGATTTTTTTATTTGTAATACATTTTCTGTAATCAATCAAATTGCTTAGTCTAAATATATAACATTAAACCTCCTAAAATACCTCAATCTTTCCATTGTCCTTTTAGCAAAGTTGAGATTTCTTAGTAAGACTTAACAACATCATTCTAAAATTGATTATTCTACCCAGGCTTATATCTCACTCTCTTTGTTATTAGTGTGAGTAATTCTAGCTAATGTAACAAAATATCATAAAATTTTAGGTACTTAGCCACATGAAATGATATATCTGCTCATGTACCTATGCTCAGTAGTGTTATGGTTGGTGACTGGTCACCCGTCAGAGATTGAGCAACCCAGGTTTCTTCCATCTTTATTTTTGAAAAGTTTTATTTTGCTTTTAATTGTCACATAATAATTGCACATATTTATGGGGCACAGTGTGATGTTTCAATACATGCATATATTCAGTAATGATAGAATCAGGTTATTCAGCATATTCATTATCTAAAACATTGATCATTAGTTTGTGGTAAGGACTCTTAAAATCCTTTCCTCTAATTATTTCGAAATATGCAATATTAACTATAGTCACCCTGCAGCCAATAGAACAAATAAGTACTTGGGTGATGAAATTATTTTGTGCAACAAACTCCCATGACCCAAGTTTACCTATGTAACAAACCCGCACATGTACCTCTGAACTTAAAATAAAAGTTATTAAAAAAAAGAAATGCTACTGATATTTTTGGTTGATGCTGTATCCTGCAACTTTACTGAATTTATTTATCACTTCTTAGAGCTTTTTGGTTGAACCTTTATATAAAATCTATGTATAAAATCATGAAATAAACAATTTGACTTCCTTCTTTCCAAATAGATCCTTTTTATTTATTTTTCTTGCCTAATTTATCTGGCTAGAACTTTAGTACTATGTTGAATAAAAGTGGTGAAAATTGGCATCTGTGTCTTGTTTCAGATCTTAGAGGAAAAGCTTTCAACTTTTCTCCAGTTAGCTGTAGTTTATCATTTTTGGCCTTTATTGTGTTGAGGTACATTTTGTTGAGAGTTTTAATCAAACAGCATTGTTGAATATTGTCAAATACTTTTTCTGTTTATCAAAGTGATAGATTAGCTTGTGTCCTTGATCCTGCTAATGTGCTATATCACATTTATTGTATTATGTAGGTTGTATTATCTAGAATGAATCCCATTTGATCATGGTGAATGATCTTTTTAATGTGCTGTTGAATTTGGTTTGCTAGTATTTTCTTAAATATTTTTGCATCTATTTTTATCAGAGATATTGTCCTGTCGTTTCATATTTTGTTGTGTCCTTGACTGGTTTTTGTATCAGTTATGCCAGCATTGTAGAATGAGTTTGGACGAATTCTCTCATCTTCAATTACTTTGAAATAGTTTGAAAAGTATTGATAACATCTTTTAAATGTTTGGTAGATTTCACTAGTGAAGCCATCATATCTGGAGCTTTTCTTTGATGGGAGACTTTTTATTATAGATTCTATGTTGTTGCTCACTATTGGTCTCTTCAGATTTTCTACTTTTTCATAATTCAATTTTGGTAGGTTGTATATGTATATGTTGGCATGTAGTTGTTCATAATAGTCTCTTATAATCCTTTGTATTGCTGTTACATCAGTTGTAATGTATACTTTTTTATTTCTGATTTTATTTGAACCTTCCATCTACTTTTCTAAGTTAATCTAATTAAAGGTTTGTTTCTGTTCAAGGATTTCTGTATTGTTTTAGTCACTATTCCACTTATATCCACTCATTTATTTCTTTTTTCTACTAATTTTATGTTTGTTCTTGTTGTTCTAGTTCCTTGAGGTATGAGGTTAGACTGTTTATTTGAGACTTTTTGTCTTTTATGGCGTAGGTGTTTATTGCTGTAAACTTCCCTCTTGGAACTGCTTTTGCTGTATTCCATAAGTTTTCATATACTGTGTTTCCAATTTCATTTGTCTCATGAAGTGTTTGAATTTTCTTTTTAACTTATTCATTAATCCATTTGTTATAGAGGAGTATGTTGTTAAATTTACATGTATTTAAATGGTTTCTAAAGTTTTTACTGTTAGTGATTTCTAGTTTTATTCCATCATGGTCAAAAGAGATACTTGATTTTGATTTTTACAGATTTGCTGAGATTTGTTTTGTGGCCTAACATCTGATCTACCCTGAAGACACTTCCATGTGCTGATGGGGAGAATGCATACTCTTCAACTGTTGAGTGGGATGTTCTGTGAATATCTGGTAGGTCCACATGATCTAGAGTGCGCTTTATATTTGTTGTTTTTTTTTGCTGAATTTTTGTCTAGATGATCTGTCCTTTGCCAAAAGTGAGATATCGAAGTCCTCTATTATTATTGCATTAGAGTCTATCTCTCCCTTTACATCTAATAATATTTGCTTTATATGCCTGGGTGTTTTGGTTTGAGATTCATATATATTTGTAGTTGTTATATCCCCTTACTGAATTGACCTGTTCATCATATCATGACCATCTTTGTCTCTTTTTACAGTTTTTGACTTAAAGTCTATTTTATCTGATCTAAGTATAGCTACTTTTGCTCTCTTTTGATTTCCATTTGCATGGCATATAGTTTTCTCTTCTTTATTTTTAGTCAATATGTGTCTTTACAGGTGAAGTAAGTCTCCTGTAAGCAGTATATAGTTGTATGTTTTTAAAATGCATTCAGCCATCTTTTAATTACAGAATTTAATACACTTATATTGAAGGTTATTATTGATAGTTATGGATTTACTGTTGCCATTTTGTTCATTGTTTTCTGGTTATTTTGTAGGTCTTTGTTTCTTTCTTCCTCTCTTGTGTTTGCTTTTGTGGTTTCATGGTTTTATTCCATTCTCTTTTTCATTTGCATATATGCTGTAACTTTTTTCTTTTTTGTTACTCTGGGGCTTACATAACAAATCTTATAGTTCTAAAGGTTTATTTTAAGCTAATAACAATTTAACTTTGATTGCCTGCAAATATTCTAGACTTTTACCCTCCAACCCAATTTATAATTTTGTCTTAATTCACATCTTTTATATGGTTTATTTCTTAAAAACTTATTGTAGCTATGGTTATTGTTGACCATTTTGACTTTTAACCTTCATACTGTATACCACCACTACAATAATGTAGCACTCTGAATTTAATTATGAGTTTACTTCTACCAGTGAGTTTAAATACTTTCATGGTAGTAATTAACATCCTTTCACCTCATGGTGGCAATTAACATCCTTTGAAGCCGTCTTTTAAGCATTTCTTGTACAGCTGTTCTAGTGGTGATGAATTCCATCAACTTTTGCTTGTCTGGGAAAGACTTTACTTCTCCTTCATATTTAAAGAATAACTTTGATGAGTATACTGTTCTTGACTAGAAGTTTTATTTTTTTCTCTCAGCACTTTGAATATATTATCCCATTATTTCCTGGCCTGCAAGGTTGAGAAATATTCTGAGAAATATGCTGATAGTCCGAGCAGCAAGATACAGCCATGAAGTCCCATATAGGGGGATTTCCTCATAAGAAAATGTCTTAGGCTGCAGGAGTTTGTGAGGCTGCTATGCTAGCTTGGGTACAGCCTCATCACTGGGCATGAGTGCCTGTTCCTTGGGGAACAGGGTGCCACATGGGCTCAGGTGCTAAGGTTACAGCTGTTGTGCTGGTCCTAGGCTCTGAGTAGACGGAGCCAAGATACCGCAGTCACTGGGATGGAAAGATGGAGTGCCTTCTTGGCAGTTTGTTTCCATGGGGTTAGAAGTTGTAGCTGCTCAGCTGCAGAATGGTGCGCTACCATGAGTAGGTGTGGTGTAGTGGCAGTGAAGCCTAGGATATGGGAAGATAGAGTGGCTACTGGCCCCCAAATGAGAAGGCACCCTAGCAGTGGCTTCAGTCTCAAGATGTCATTACACTGCAGCAGCTTCGATAATAGGGCAGGATGAGACACAATATAGCTCCTTGTTTGGAGTAACATAGACATGTGAACTCCAGGCAACTCCTCAGGCTGGGCCTAGGACCTGTAAGGACTACAGTGATCTCCAGGAGCAAAGATTGTGGGTGTCCACATTTTAATTTGTGTTGCTGAGGGCCTCCTGCATACCTTTTCTCTGTAAGGAGAGTCTGCCCTGGCTCTGACCTCATCCCACTAGGAGAGAAAAGATGGTAAAGGCAGAGTGTTCCATTCCCTTTTTTATATGGCCATCCTGAGTCTCCGTGATCCACATGGTCTCTGCCATTTCCTTGTTGTACTCCAGGGCTCTCTTTCATATATTTTAGTTGAAATGTGGTTATTTATTTGTTTCTTTGGTCCTTTTGTGTGGTGGCCGGGGAGGAGGTTGAGTGTTAGGAACTTCTAGTCAGCTATCTTATTGGTGTCACTTCCTCTTGCATCTTCTTGATTTAAGATTTATTTAGGATCCCAGAGTCTTCTGCATCCTCTTGGCAGACAAAGGACTAAAGAGTTAAGGCAGACTTCATTATTACTATGTTAGTCAAATTATTTCTTTTTGTTGATAAGAATATGATATTTTGTTGGTAAGAATAGGACATATGGCCTTGCTTAGAAGAAAGGTGACTAAGAATTGTAGTTCCAGAAGGGGAGCTATTTTCCAGTAACAGCTCTACACTCTAGAAGAAGATATAAGAAAATTGATGAATACTTAGTTCCCCGTAATTTACTCTGTCTCCTATAATCTGAGCTTTTAATTTCTCCAGTGCAGTGGTTATCTGATTATCCTTTGTAGATAATTTCCTTTGTAAGTAGATTTCTGTACTAGGGAGAGCTTCACTTTTCTTCTTTGTCTACTAACATACTTCAGGCCTCAGATTTTTCTTACCTGCTCTTAAGTCTGTATCAAAGCAATTTAGACTCTATAGCTATTTGTTTAACCTGCCTTTTCCACTAGGACTGGGATATTTTTCATTTTTCTCATCATTAAATTCCCAGTAGTTAGCAGAAATTCTGGATAGAATAAAAACTTTATTAATATTTGTTGAAGAAGTTCATACATCACTTAAGCCTGTTCTTTACGCATTTAATTTTTAGTAAACTCTTTACTGAGGTGTAACAGAAACATAAAAAATCACAAATCATAAGTGTATGTATAGTTTGATGAATGATGAATCACCATTGTATTAGTTTCCTATAGTAACAAATTACTACACACTGGGTGGCTCATAAGAACAGAAACATATTTTCTCTTAGTTATGGAGGACAGAAATTCAAAATCAGTATCACTGGATCAAAATCAAGATGTTAACAGGGCCACACTTCTTTCAGAAACTCTGGAGAAAAATCTGTTTCTTGCCGTTTCCAGCTTCTGGTGTCCGTGAGGATTCCTTGGCTATTGGCCACATCACCCTCACATCTTCAAATCTCTTTGCTCCAACTTTATATCAATCTACCACTTTATGTATAAGGTCTCTCTTAGCCTTCCTCTTACACGGATACATGTGATTGAATTTTAGGCCCAGCTAGATAATCCAGGATGATCTCCAGATTTCAAGATTCATAAATTAAGCACAACAACAAATACCCCTTTTTTCAAATATAAGGTAAAATTTATAAATTTCAGGAATGAAGACATGAATACCTTTTGGGAGACTACCATACCTTCACATGAACTCAGCCACATGACTATTTAATAGATTGATCTAAAGAACATTACCAGCCCCTAAGTTATTCTTCCTTTTAAACTTTCTATCAGTTTTTGACTTTGTTAACTGAAGAGTAATTAGTCCCCTGACTTCTAACAAAATGGATTACATTTGCCATTTTAGAATTTATATAAAGTAATACAGTTTGTTTTAACTATTGTCTGACTTTTTGCTCAGCATACATCTATGTTTTGGTGTACAATTATAGTTCTTTTATTCTCGTTGTTGTATGGTAATCTATTTTATTAATATACCAGTATTTAGTCTATTGTTGATGGGCATATGGCTTGTATTACAGTTCTG
Source organism: Homo sapiens (assembly GCF_000001405.40). Taxonomy (NCBI): domain Eukaryota; kingdom Metazoa; phylum Chordata; class Mammalia; order Primates; family Hominidae; genus Homo; species Homo sapiens. Next base: position 14,588,371 of record NC_000018.10, on the reverse strand, counting down.
CTACTAATAGAACTGCTATGAATATTTCATACATGCCTTTTAGTATATATTGTATGTTGGACATACAACTAGGAGAAAATTAGTAGAATTAGTGTGTGGTAGAGTAGTATATGTGTGTTCACTTTTGGTATATTCTTCCAGCTTTCCAAAACGATTGTATAAATGCATGTTTCAGTAATAGTCTGTGAGAGTTTCTGTTGCTCCACATCCTAATTAACATCTAGGAGAGTATTACTTTTTCAGTTTAGCCATTCTGATGTATATAAATACATATTGCATTAAAATTTCAATATGTATATGAATAATTATTAATACAGTTAAGCAAACTTTCATATGCTTATTGAGCATTTGAATATCTCCTTTTGTAAACAGCTTATCAAGTTTTTGCCCATTTATCCATTAGTCTGCTTTTTTCTTACTGATTTATAAGCAGACTTTTAGTATTTTCAATATAAAGTTTAAAAGGAGGAATATCTTGGGGGCTGCTTATATGCTTAGTAAATTTCCTTTTCCAAATTATGAGCTGCATTTTCACTCTCATAATGTCTTTAATGATGATTGATAATGTATTTTAATGAAGTCTAGTTTGTCATTTTTTCTTTTGTTTAAAATAATTTGTCGTATTTAAGAAATCCTTGCATATACAAAAGTCATGAGAACATTCTCCTATATCTCCTATATCATCTTCTGAAAGCTTTATTTTTATTTATATAGAGATATATATTATTCTGAATTATTTTTGTGAATTTTGTGAATTTAGAGCCAAGCTTTTTTGTAGTTGTTTGTTCAAGGTAGGAGCATAATTGCCAAGCATCATATTTTTGTTTCTTCTCTTCATTATCCTATTTCTCATAGATCAGGTGACTATATACTTTCTTTTTATTCCCAGAATCTCTAATGTGTTTCACTAGCATGTTTCTTTTTTCTTTACCAATACAAGATTTCAATATATAGTCTTTTGTTTAACTTTTATTTTTATTTCAGGGGTATATGTGCAAGTTTGTTTTATAGGTAAATTATATGTCACAGATGTTTGTTATACAGATTACTCTGTTACCCAGGTAATAAGCATAGTACTCAATAGGTGGTTTTTGGATTTTCCCCCTTCTGCCACCCTTCTCTCTGTAGTAGGCCCCAGTGTCTATTGTTTTCTTTTTCGTGTCCATTCCTACTCAATGTTTAGCTCCCACTTATGAGTGACTACATGTGGTATTTGGTTTTTTGTTTCTGTTTCTGTGTGTCTTTGCTTAGGATAATGGCCTTTAGCTTCATCTATGTTGCTGCAAAGGACATGATATCATTCTTTTTTATGGCTGCATTGTATTCCATGGTGTATATGTATCTTGTTTTCTTCATCCAGTCTACTATTTATGGGCATCTAGGTTAATTCCATGTTTTTGGAAATGCAAAGAGGCAAGAATAGTCAAGAAAGTTTCAAAGGATGACATAGTCTACCATATATGAAGACTTCTTGTGTCTTCTTTCAAAATTTGAAGAAAGTCTTGATATATGTAGTGTATGCCTTCCTTCAGAATTTCTTTGGATATTCTTACCTCTTTGTATTTGCATATAAATTTTAGAATCAGCTTGTCAATTTGCTCAAATATATTATTAGAAATTTGATTGAGATTGCATTAAATCTATGGATCAATTTGGGAAAAATTAACCATTATCAAACAACATTGCTAAATGCACTAGTTAAATTTAATAGCTTAAAATATTTTCTACATATATACAGATATACAGAAATGTGTATATATATATATATACAGAAAAAAATGTTTTTCTAAAATTATATTCAACTCTTTCAGTTATTTTTAAATAGACAATGAATTATAGTTAACTATAGTCACCCTATTGTGTTACCGAATACTAGACTTTATTCCTTCTAACTGTATTTTTGTACCCATTAACCATATCCTCTTTATATCTCCCTCCCCACTACCCTTCCTAATCTCCAGTAGCCATCATTCTACTTTCTCTCTCTCTGAGTTCAGTTTTTTTTAGCTGAGATATGAGTGAGAAATATGAGTGAGAACATGTGATAGTTGTCTTTTCATGCCTGATTTACTTCACTTAACATGATGTCCTCCAGTTCCATCCATGCTTTGCAAATAACAGGATTTTATCATTTGTATAGCTGAAAAATATTTCACTGTGTATGTGCACCACAGTTTAATTATCTGTTCGTCCATTGATAGACACTTTGGTTGATTCCATATTTGGCTATTGTGAATAGTGCTGAAATAAACATGAGAGAGCAGATATCTCTTCAATATACTGATTTCCTTTCTTTTGGATATAGACCCAGGAATGAGATTACTGGATTATATAGTAGTACTATTTTTAGTTTTTTAAGGAACTTCCATAATGTTCTCCATAGTGGCTGTACCAGTTTACATTCCCACCAAGAGCATACGAAGGTTCCCTTTTATCCACATCCTCACCAACATTAGTTAGGAAAAAAAAAGAAAAAAATACAATGTATGTTTCTTTAGTCAAGCTGTTCAGAAGCTATTAAGCTGACTTACACAAATATCACATGTTCTCACTCATATTTGGGAGCTAAAAAAATTGAACTCATGGAGAGAATAGAATGGTGGCTGGGAAGGGTAGTGGGGAGGGAGAGATAAAGACGATATGGCTAATGGATACAAAAATACAGTTAGACAGAAGGAATAAGGTCCAGTATTCGGTAGCACAATAGGGTGACTATAATTAACAATAATTTATTGTATATTTAAAAATAACTAAAAGAGTTGAACTGGAATGCTCCTAACACAAAGAAATGATAAATGCTTGAGGTTATAGATGCCTCAGTTACCCAGATTTGATCATTACACATTGTATGCCTGTATCAAAACATCACATGTACCCCATAATATGTACAAAAAATTTCAACTTTTACGTTATATTGAGAGGGTACATGTACAGGTTTGTTTCATGGGTATATTGCATGATGCTGAAGTTTGAGGTATAAATGATCTCATCACCCAGGTAGTGAGCATAACTGACTGCTAAAATATCACTTACATTTTCTTAGTTTACCTGACAATACTTAAGGTGTTCCTATTGCCCTGTGTAGCTGAGATTATGTCATGAATGTTGTAGATCTATGGTAAAATACTTAAACATACACCTAGTTATGTGCTGCATGTCTTCCTGACTAAATTGGAAGATTCTCCAGACCACTAGATTTTGCCTTCCTTTGCATCCTCCACTACTATTGGCACAAAGTTGGTACATTATTTTTGCTGAAATTGTCATGTTCATAATTAAAAATGTAACTGCTTAAATAAAAAAGATATTGATAAGAAATTCTATAAAGAAAGGTGTATATCAACTTTGATAAGAAGATAAAACTGATGCATGACATAATACTAAAATAAAAATAAGGTAATATAATAAAAAAGAGAATATCAGAATAGTATCAAAATATATAAAATTGAAAGTGTGCTTTCCATCCCTGCTCTTATCTCTCCAGTTTCCCTTGCATGTATGCATACACATGCACAAACATACACGCATCTGAATCTACTTTATTAATTTTATTTAATTTTTATTACCATATCTGTGGTTTCTTTAACCAGATACAAGCAGATTCAAATATAGATTAATACTTTTTGCTTCTTATCATTTAAAGTGAGTATTCATTTTACATATCTCAACTTATTTTTTTGTTTACTTAATAGTATGGAAGCTTTGAATATCAGTACAGAGAGTTCTAATTATTTTTACCATTTCATATTATTTCACTCTATGGATAATTTATTTAATTTGTATCTTACTGATAGTTAATGAAGTTTTCTCCTATTTATTTTATTATAGTGCCACAATAAGTAATAGTGAACATATATCATTTCTTATGTATCCAGACGTATTCATAGAATAAATCTTCAGTAATAAGATTTTATTTCAAAAGGTATGCACATTTGTAAATAAAAAATTGCCTTTATAAGTAGTTTAAGGTCTATCTAAATGCCTAAATCTTTAGCTTCATATCTTATCAGTCTCCTAACCAGCATCTTTTTCTTCTAAACTGATGGATGAGTTCCATTCTCAGAACACATCATGTTGTTTTACCCTCCACATTTTGCATATGCTCTTCCTTTTGCCTAGAATGCTCTCCCCTCAACCCTGCTGTCCTAAGATCCTATTTTAAGATTCTACTAGACTATCACCACATTCTGTTACATCAATTAACCTTCCTTTATACCTGTGATAATTGGCCAATCCCTCCTCTATATTCCAAAACTAACCTGCAGATACTTCTATCATTGCAGCTCATTTAATATTTCAACAAGTGCATGAGTATCTGTGTATGCCAGGCCTTCTGTTACTTGTTGGCAATAGAGAGTAAATATGATGTATTTCTCTCTACCCTCAAGGAATTCCAGTCTAGAGGGGGGATATAAAGGTATTCAATAAAGAATAGCAAAATCATTTCTAATTATAATTATGCTGGGCACTATTAGGAACATGTATAGAATAGCGAAAGAACATATAATGCTGGAACCTTCCCCGGTTGCTGTGGTCATTGGAAGACTTCTTGGAGAAATTCCATCAAGGTTTAGTCCTGAGGGTACATGTATAGGACATGGGCAGGTTGAGCAAATGGATATCATTATGTTAGATATATGGCATTTGGAAAAGGCCCCAACAGCAGTGGAGCCTGGCACGCTAGAAGACAAGGGAAGTTAGTGTTCAAGGAGGAGAAAAATGCAAAATAGGGCTGTGGAGGTAGGCAGAATCCTACACTGTAGTAATTTGTTGCTTTCTATTTCCCAGCCTCACTGCTATTTTTTCTGTAATCCATAAAATAATGCCCATCACATTATAAACTTTCAGTAATAAATATTTGAGAATAAATAAATATATGATATTCATCAATAGTGGATGAAAATTGTCAAAATTAGTATCAAGTCAGAATACTTCACACCTGGAAAAACAAGTGCTGAGCAGTGCCTCCCTCATGAGGGATATCTAGATCTCTTCGGCAATCCTTCCTGCTCCCCTCCAGGTGTTCTATCATCTTAAGGTCTAGGCTTCCACCAACTGCCACATCAGTGAAAATGCAAGAATTGCAATGCAGAGGAACAGATTTCCATAAACCAATAAGGTCATTTCAGAGTATGGGAGGTAGAAAGACCCTGAGAAGTTGCTTCAAGACATAAGGCATTGAGGAAAGAAGGTAATAAGAGGGAAAAGAGAGATTTCGGTCTGGAAATTACTTAGGCTAATAGTCCACATAACTCCACATAAGCCAAGTCTCAGTATGTTGGTCAAAACAAGCAAATTCAAAGTTATACAGGAGGGGTGGAAAGAGACAAAAAGAACAAGGATAACTTTTTTTCTGTAGCTCCAATATAGTCTTCAAGTGCAGACTGTATGTTTAGCATCCTTTTATCCACTACAGGGAAAAATAAGATAAAACATCCTAAGCAAATCACCCGAGAAGTCTGTAAAAAGTTCTCACAGCAGAAACTGGATAAAAGTTAAGCAGCTGCTGATAGTCTGCCCCCACTTAATCAGTGCTTCCCCATTACCTCTACAATATGCCTAATGTCTTTATTATAGTAGCATCCAAGGCTCTGACCACCTCCTATCAGCACAGATTCTCTTTCCGCTACTACTAACTTAATATCGTGTGCTCCAGAAATAGTAAACCAAATGTAGGTCCTGAATTCATTGGGCATTTTATGCTCCTCTGCCTTTGTCCATGCTGTTCCCTTCCTGGCTTATTTTACTCCAACCTGTCATTCAGATCTCAAATTCAGCACTACATCTGATCTCCAAGCTTACTCTGACTTTGCCAGGGACATTTAGACTTGCCTTTTCCTAGGTTCCCATATCACTACATGCAAATTTACACCATGGCAATTATCTTTCCTCTTGTTAGAATATAATCTCTTCAAGGATAGGAAAGTTATGTTATCATTTCTGTTTCCTCAGTACATCTCACAGATTCTGATATGTAAAAAGGGCCAAAAAACATTTCTTGGATTATCTTTACTGAGAGTAGCCTAAAAGGCAGAAAATTCAACTTACGACAGTCATCTCCTCCCTACTAATTCTGAGATACTTCACCTAGAGAAAAATCCTATCCTCTTATAATTAGACATATCCTTGGAAGAGCTAGCATAGCTCTTCAGTGTATAATGAAATGCCAATGACTGAAAACAGATTTCTGCTAGAGTACAAACAGAAAACGAATCAGGATACAAGGAAGAGAGGTATAAAACAAGAAGAGGATAAAAGTATAACAGATTCTATGATCCTGCTTGACCTAAAGTCTCATATAGGAATAATTTGTAAAAACATTATATTCCTGGTGATTCAACAAATGCTAATGTTTGTTGAGAGTAAGGCATGAAAGGCTAGGAACAAGGGTGGATTACAGTAAAGTGAGAGTTAGAAATGCAAAAAAAGTTGTAGGCATGGTGGTAGAAAGGGCAGGTTCTGTTTTGCACGAGGCTGCTCTATTCATGTAGGCAGAACTGCTGGTGTAATATACATGAATGGAGTGGCCTGGTGCAAACAAAACAGAGAGACGAGGTCTCTGGTTATAATTCGATCTAAAAGCTGAGCTCCAACTTGGAATTCTGGCCAAATATTGCCGGGCTTATATTTGTTTGCTTCATTTTTCATGAAAATAAATAAATCTGTATTTATTTGTGAAATTTTCCACTATCTAATTTTGGTAATTAACTTGATTTCTTTATAAATCTTTGAGGGAACACGAAACACGTTGGGAATAGAGGACAGTTATGGCTTGCAGCCTGGTAACTTACAAACTCTGCTTACAAGATGATGAGAAAATTAGAATAGAGAAGCTAATTAACATTCCCCAAGCCACAAACCTGGAAAATGGTGAAAAGCTAGATTCAAATCAGGCAATCCAGTTTCAATTACGGTGCTCTTGATCCCCACTCCAGGGATTCTTAGCTCTGTGTGTGTGTTTGTGTGTGTGTGTGTGTGTGCATATACAAATACATCATATATCCCTTTGGAAGTTTGGTGAAGTCTGGACCCTTCTCAGAATAATATCTTGTACACATAAGGTAAAATATACAGGGAATTACAAATGGCCAATAAATATGTGGAAAAAATGCTCAACATCACTTATCATCAGGAAAGTGCAAATCAAAACCACAGTGATAGGCTGTCTCACCCCAGTTAGGATGGCTATTATCAAAAAGACAAAATAATAAATTCTGGTGAGGATGTGGAGAAAAGAGAACTCTTTTTTTTTTTTTTTTTGAGACGGCATCTTGCTCTGTCGCCTAGGCTGGAGTACAGTGGCGCCATCTCGGCTCACTGCAAGCTCTGCCTCCGGGGTTCACGCCACTCTCCTGCCTCAGCCTCCCCAGCAGCTGGGACTGCAAGCACCCGCCACCATGCCCGGCTAAGTTTTTGTATTTTTAGTAGAGACAGGGTTTCACCATGTTAGCCAGGATGGTCTCAATCTCCTGACCTCATGATCCGCCTGTCTCGGCCTCCCAAAGTGCTGGGATTACAGGCGTGAGCCAGAAAAAGATCTCTTATACACTATTGGTGGGAAAATAAACTGGCACAGCCACTATGAAGAACAATACAGAGTTTCCTTTAAAAACCAAACCAAAAGAAAACAAAAAAACTACAAATAGAACTACATATGATCCATCTATCCCACTACTGGGCATTTATCCAAAGGAAAGAAAATCAGTATATCAAAGAGACATTTGTAGCCTCATATTTATTGCAGCACTATTCACAATAACCAAGACATGAAATCAACCCGTGTCTGAGAGCAGATGAAGAGATTTTTTTAATGCAGTACAAATATACAATGGAATATTACTCAGCTATAAAAATAACAATCATGTTATTTGCAACAACATGTATGAGACTGGGGTACATTATGTTAAGTGAAATAAAGCAGGAACAAAAAGCTGTTCATCACATGTTCTCATTCTTATGTGGAAATTTTAAAAAGTTAATCTTGGCCAGGTGCGGTGGCTCACGCCTGTAATCCCAGCACTTTGGGAGGCCGAAGCAGGCGGATCCCCTGTCAGGAGTTTGAGACCAGCCTGGCCGACGTGGCGAAACTCTGTCTCTACTAAAAATACAAAAATTAGCCGGGCATGGTTGCGGGTGCCTGCGTTCCCAGCTATTCCGGGAGGCTGAGGCAGGAGAATCGCTTGAACCCCGGAGGCAGAGGTTGCAGTGAGCAGAGATCGTGCTATTGCACTCCAGCCTACGCAACAGGGCGAGATTCCGTCTCAAAAAAAACCAAAAAAAAAAAAAACAAAAAAAAAAACTTGATCTTACAGAAGGAAAAAGCAGAATAGAGATTACTAGAGGCTGAAAAATGTAGAGAAAAAAGGAGAAAAGAGACATTTGTTAAAGGACACAAAATCACAGCTAGATTAGAGACATAAGTTCTTATGTTTTATAGCACTGTAGGATGACTATAGCCAAAAATAATATTTTTTATATTTTCAAATAGCTAGAAGAAAAGATATCAACTATTCCCAACAAAAAATGATAAATATTTGAAATGATGGGTATGCTAACTACCCTGATCTGATCTCTACATATTATATGTATCACATCACTATGTACCACATAAATATGTAGAATTATTGTCAATTAAAAATAAATTAAACTTAAGAATATAAGAACACAAAGAAAATCAATTACACTAAACTGTAGTATTCAAATATTTTTTCAATGGTGATATAGTAATACAAGTGCTTTCTGAACACACTGAATAAGATCTAGTGAGAATCTAATAGCTAAACCAATTTTAAAATAGTAATGTTCCATAAACAAAACTAAAAACAAAAACCACATGATTATCTCAATAGATGTAGAAAAGGCTTTCAATAAAAGTCAGCATTCCTTCATGATAAAAACACTCCACAGACTAGACTTTGAAGGAACATACCTCAAAATATTGAGCCATATATGACAAACCCACAGCCAACATTATACTGAGTTGGCAAAAGCTGGAAGCATTCCACTTGAAAACTGGCACAAGACAAGGATGCCCTCTCTCACCACTCCTATTCAACATAATATTGGAAGTTCTGGCCAGGGCAATTAGGCAAGAGAAAGAAATACAGGGCATTCAGATAGGAAGAGAGGAAGTCAAACTATCCCTATTTGCAGATGACATGATCCTGTATCTGAAAAACCTCATAATCTCAGCCCAAAAGATTCTTAAGCTGATAAACGACTTTAGCAAAGTCTTGGGATACAAAATCAATGTTCAGAAATCACTAGTATTCCTATACATGAACAACAGTCAGGCTGAGAGCCAAATCAGGAATGAAATTCCATTCTCAATTGTCACAAAAAGAATAAAATACCTAGGAATAAAGCTAACTAGGGAGGTGAAATATTTTTACAAGGAGAACTACAAAACACTGCTCAAAGAAACCAGAGATGACACAAACAAATGGAAAAATACTCCATGCTCATGGATAGGAAGAATCAATATCGTTAAAAGGGCCATACTGCCCAACGCAATTTATAGATACAGTGCCATTTCCATCAAACTACCATTGACATTTTTCACAGAACTAGAGAAAACTATTTTAAAATTCATATAGAACCATAAAAGAGACTGAATAATCAAGGCAATCCTAAGCAAAACTAACAAAGATGAAGGCATCATGCTCCCTGAATTCAAACTATGTTACAGGGCTACAGTAACCAAAACAGTTTGGTACTGGCACAAAAATAGACACATAGACTAAGAAACAGAATAGAGAACCCAGAAATAAGACCACACACCTACCACTATCTGATATTTGACAAACCTGACAAAAACAAGCAATGGAAAATGAATTCTCCATTCAATAAATGGTGTTGGGATAACTGGCTAGCCATTGTCTTAGTAGCCTAGACAACTGCCTTGTCTAGGGAGATGGCAGCAGAGATGAAGAGACATAAATTAAGTCAATATATATTTTTAAAATAAGAGGACTATTTAGTGGATTGTATGGAGTAGTGGATGAGAAAAAAGGGGAATCAAAATTGTGAATTTATTAATAGCTAACTATTTATTTGAATGCATCCATTTTTCCTCTCATTCTACCTCCAATTTCTTCTCTTTGTACCTCTGATTCATCTTCCTTCTTTGGTGACAAGGCCTCTAAAGTGAGTCACCTAAACTGCAGTCTGAGGAGGAGTCAAGGGTACTGCAAATGTGAGAGCCATATTCAGATACTGGCACGTGGAACAAGTTGAAGAATGGCTAATCTGACGTGCTGTATTTATCCAGAAATTTTAAGTAGGCTCCATGAGTAAGGCTTTGAGGGCACAGTTCAGGGCTTAGCTGATTCCCCCCAGATGAGCTCTTCTACCAGAAATTCCCCGGTAGAGGTTATTTATTCTCCAGCTTTAGGGCTTTTATTAGATGAAATGTCTTACTTCATGCTTTAATTTTATGGTTCTATTTTTAACAATTTCCTGAACAGTACATTCTACTATGTCTCAAAATAAACAATTTGTTATATTTTTATAAGTCTGGACAAAGTCTGCCTTGTTTATTAACGTGTTTTTAAAAAATTCAATAGATAACTATTAAGTCATTTACTTCTCAGTTAATTTATAGAAGACAGCATTTCCATTACTATCTTTTGAATAGGTAAGAGATGAAGGACAAAATACTTCAGACTTTTAAACTATGTTTATTTTATTTAAAATCATTGCTGTGAAAAAAAAACAAAAAACAAAAAACAAGACATTGACCTATTGAACATAGTGTATTTATTATTTTTCCTTTTATGCAATCTTAGCATATTCTTCAATTCAAAATAAGAAACCCCAAAAGTATATAATACTTCTTTGGAAAAATATGCAAAGGCCAACACATACAAAAGACAATGCTAGCTACAGAAATGCATCAAAGACTAATAATAATTGACAAAAATCCAGTATTTTAACACTAATTAATACTAGGTAAATTGATACATCCTATTACAGTATGAAATTCTGCCATTTAATTTCAAGTAAGAACCCTTATTTCCATTCTAGTACCTGCTGTCTTATGCATGTTTAACACAACAGCAACAATAATATAAGTAGTTAGTATATATTAAAGCATTAATGAACACCAAGCATTGTTAAATATATTACATGTATTTTTGCTTAATTTTCACAACATTACTAATGGTTAAATATTATTACATTTTGTAGGTAAAAAAACTGAGGCTTAGAAACATTGAAAAAAACTTGCTCAACGTTGCAAAACAAGAAATTTGTGACACTGGAATTGACATCTACAAGGGACTGATGTAACTAATTGCTGGATACATGTCCCTCAAAGACACAGAAACAGATCTTGTATTCTAGTGGATCTCCGGCACCCAGTGAGGGCCTGAAACAGAGTACATGTCCAACAAATAATTATTGAAGTAAAGATTGACATTTCAGGAGCAGAGATTAATATTCAAAAACAAAGATGAGAATTTTGGCAGAAAAGTCAAAATGAGGTAAAAGTACATTTCCACCTTAACCTTTTTTTTTTATTTGCTTAGCTGACATAAGGAAGAGTTTATAATTTGTTTGTTTTTTTTAAATTTTATTATTATTATACTTTAAGTTTTAGGGTACATGTGCACAGTGTGCAGGTTTGTTACATATGTATACATGTGCCATACTGGTGTGCTGCACCCATTAACTCCTCATTTAGCATTAGGTATATCTCCTAATGCTATCCCTCCCCCCTCCCCCACCACAGTCCCCAGAGTGTGATGTTCCCCTTCCTGTGTCCATGTGTTCTCATCGTTCAGTTCCCACCTATGAGTGAGAATATGCGGTGTTTGGTTTTTTGTTCTTGTGATAGTTTACTGAGAATGATGGTTTCCAATTTCATCCATGTCCCTACAAAGGACATGAACTCATCATTTTTTATGGCTGCATAGTATTCCATGGTGTATATGTGCCACATTTTCTTAATCCAGTCTATCGTTGTTGGACATTTGGGTTGGTTCCAAGTCTTTGCTATTGTGAATAGTGCCGCAATAAACATATGTGTGCATGTGTCTTTATAGCAGCATGATTTATAGTCCTTTGGGTATATACCCAGTAATGGGATGGCTGGGTCAAATGCTATTTCTAGTTCTATATCCCTGAGGAATCGCCACACTGACTTCCACAATGGTTGAACTAGTTTACAGTCCCACCAACAGTGTAAAAGTGTTCCTATTTCTCCACATCCTCTCCAGCATCTGTTGTTTCCTGACTTTTTAATGATCACCATTCTAACTGGTGTGACCTGGTATCTCATTGTGGTTTTGATTTGCATTTCTCTGATGGCCAGTAATGGTGAGCATTTTTTCATGTGTTTTTTGGCTGCATAAATGTCTTCTTTTGAGAAGTGTCTGTTCATGTCCTTCGCCCACTTTTTGATGGGGTTGTTTGTTTTTTTCTTGTAAATTTGTTTGAGTTCATTGTAGATTCTGGATATTAGTCCTTTGTCAGATGCAAAAATTTTCTCCATTTTGTAGGTTGCCTGTTCACTCTGATGGTAGTTTCTTTTGCTGTGCAGAAGCTCTTTAGTTTAATTAGATCCCAGAAACCAACGAGAACAGAGACACAACATACCAGAATCTCTGGGACACATTCAAAGCAGTGTGTAGAGGGAAATTTATAGTACTAAATGCCCACAAGAGAAAGCAGGAAAGATCCAAAATTGACACCCTAACATCACAATTAAAAGAATTAGAAAAGCAAGAGCAAATACATTCAAAAGCTAGCAGAAGGCAAGAAATAACTAAAATCAGAGCAGAACTGAAGGAAATAGAGACACAAAAAGCCCTTCAAAAAATTAATGAATCCAGGAGCTGGTTTTTTGAAGGATCAACAAAATTGATAGACCACTAGCAAGACTAATAAGAAAAGAGAGAAGAATCAAATAGATGCAATACAAAATGATGAAGGGGATATCACCACCGATCCCACAGAAATACAAACTACCATCAGAGACTACTACAAACACCTCTACGCAAATAAACTAGAAAATCTAGAATAAATGGATAAATTCCTCAACACATACACCCCCCCAAGACTAAACCAGGAAGACGTTGAATCTCTGAATAGACCAATAACAGGCTCTGAAATTGTGGCAATAATCAATAGCTTACCAACCAAAAAGAGTCCAGGACCAGATGGATTCACAGCCGAATTCTACCAGAGGTACAAGGAGGAACTGGTACCATTCCTTCTCAAACTATTCCAATCAATAGAAAAAGAGGGAATCCTCCCTAACTCATTTTATGAGGCCAGCATCATCCTGATACCAAAGTCTGGCAGAGACACATCCAAAAAAGGGAATTTTAGATCAATATCCTTGATGAACATTGATGCAAAAATCCTCAATAAAATACTGGCAAAACGAATCCAGCAGCACATCAAACAGCTTATCCACCATGATCAAGTGGGCTTCATCCCTGGGATGCAAGGCTGGTTCAATATACACAAATCAATAAATATAATCCAGCATATAAACAGAACCAAAGACAAAAACCACATGATTATTTCAATAGATGCAGAAAAGGCCTTTGACAAAATTCAACAATGCTTCATGCTAAAAACTCTCAATAAATTAGGTATTGATGGGCTGTATCTCAAAATAATAAGAGCTATCTATGACAAACCCACAGCCAATATCATACTGAATGGGCAAAAACAGGAAGCATTCCCTTTGAAAACTGGCACAAGACAGGGATGCCCTCTCTTACCACTCCTATTCAACATAGTGTTGGAAATTCCGGCCTGCCCTGAATTAGGCAGGAGAAGGAAATAAAGGGTATTCAATTAGGAAAAGAGGAAGTCAAGTTGTCCCTGTTTGCAGATACATGATTGTATATCTAGAAAACCCCATTGTCTCAGAACAAAATCTCCTTAAGCTGATAAGCAACTTCAGTAAAGTCTCAGGATACAAAATCAATGTACAAAATTCACAAGCATTCTTATACACCAATAACAGACAAACAGCCAAATCATGAGTGAACTCCCATTCACAATCGCTTCAAAGAGAATAAAATATCTGGGAATCCAACTTACAAGGGACGTGAAGGACCTCTTCAAGGAGAACTACAAACCACTGCTCAAGGAAATAAAAGAGGATACAAACAAATGGAAGAACATTCCATGCTCATGGGTAGGAAGAATCAATATCGTGAAAATGGCCATACTGCCCAAGGTAATTTATAGATTCAATGCCATCCCCATCAAGCTACCAATGACTTTCTTCACAGAATTGGAAAAAACTACTTTAAAGTTCATATGGAACCAAAAAAGAGCCCGCATCGCCCAGTCAATCCTAAGCCAAAAGAACAAAGCTGGAGGCATCATGCTACCTGACTTCAAACTATACTACAAGGCTACAGTCACCAAAACAGCATGGTAGGGGTACCAAAACAGAGATATAGATCAATGGAACAGAACACAGCCCTCAGAAATAACGCCGCATATCTACAACTATCTGATCTTTGACAAACCTGAGAAAAATAAGCAATGAGGAAAGGATTCCCTATTTAATAAATGGTGCTGGGAAAACTGGCTAGCCATATGTAGAAAGCTGAAACTGGATCCCTTCCTTACACCTTATACAAAAATCAATTCAAGATGGATTAAAGACTTAAACGTTATACCTAAAACCATAAAAACCCTAGAAGAAAACCTAGGCATCACCATTCAGGACATAGGCATGGGCAAGGACTTTATGTCTATAATTTGTTAAAATGAACTAGTGTTTCAAATTTAAAATGTGGTTTTCTATCTAGCTCCAACACTACATTTCTTCATAAGCTTCTGCACATTATTTAATGTTAAATATTTGGATTGGAGGTTGTGTTGAAGCATGTTTTACAATTATCTTGGACTTTTAAGTGGCAAAACTATTAATGCCATTTCTTTCTTTGCAAGGCAAAGTCGTGTTTTTCTTATGCTACTCGCTGTTCAAATCTATGATGACTGATTGCTTCTGGAACTCTTTTTATGTACGTCAGTCATTTTAAGTAGACACATTTTTATCAGCATATCAAAATACCATGCAATCTAACCTAGTTTTGTCACCCCAACCATATTAGTAATGAAAAACTGGAAAACGTTCTATTCGTTTTTCTGTCATATGTCTTAACAAGCTGCAGTCTTAGAGACATGCTAAAACTAGAATATCGAATTTAACCTGCTAGTGACTTTTTTTGAAAGAAGTTATTCTTCAAAGGCATACTACTTTAATATAAGATGTATTTTGGGAAGAAGTTTTAGGGAAATAGAAACGACATTTTTAGAACCCATTCTGTATTACTTTCCATAAAGCAGTCATGACAAATATTTAATTTACCTTTTACAATATTTTTAGAGATGAAAAAGGGAAAGGTAAAGTGAATCCCCAGGGATAATACAACTAGGAAATGACAGAATCAAGATTTAATTCCAGGGTCCATGTTTGTCTACAGAAATGTCTTTGCCCCTTACAGTGATTCAGCCTTAAATCTGTCCTGTGAATTCTCTGGACCTTCAATACGTCAGCTGTTAGAAAATTGGACTGGCTGATTTCCAAAGACTCTCTTGTAATGAAAAATCTATTTAACATGATCAATAATATACCAAATTAGGGAGAATCATGCTATGTATTTCTTAAATTCTTTTTTTCCTTTCTTTCCATAGGTTATATTATGTTGAAAATTAGACACAAAGCTTCTTCTAAGACTAATAATATGCTGCAATATTTATTTTGGAAATGAAAAAATTATGATTAATTTAATAGCTAATATTTTTCCCAAACATTGAGTCTTGGTAGTAAATAAATTCATCATACTTATAATTTTCAGCCCGATTTTGAAAGCCAGTCACATTTGAATAGTTTACTGTCTATGATTTAAACTTTAGAAATTATTATTTGATTATTTACTATATTAATTATGAAGTGTGATAGTGGTATAAACACCTATTAAGAAACTGTATTGTTAAATTTCTGAATCTTTGAACTGTTCTCTTATTTTCAGAGTTGACACAGAACTCAAACAACTGAACCCCTTAAATCAAGATTGTTGAACATTAACTAAAAGAATCTCTTCACAGTATAAATTTTCCCATAAAACTATTTCCAGTGTTATACTTGTTTTGTCCTGCACTGCTAATTATACTTCTAAATTAATCTAAACACCATCAGAGTACCACAAGGCTGTACAGAATGGGAGTATTCTGGATTAGAAAACAAGAGATTCATATTTTATCTCAGGTTTCTTTAATTAGTCTTAATCCGAGGTATGTTTGTAGGATCCAGAGGTCTATGAAGTCCTGAATTTATGTTCACAATTTTGATGATATGTTCATTTTTCTATGAAAATCACCTTTACATTTCACCAGATTATCAAATAGACCCATAACTCAAAAGGTTTGTAAACACTGCGCTAACTTTTCGTCAAGATGTCGCACATTTCTTATCCCTGACTTCTTTTCATAAATTTAAACTAAATTATTTGAAAGGTAAATTCTAAGTTTAATTTTTTGATTGCTCTAAGAACATAACTGTTGATATTATATCTCACAAAGGAGATCGCTATTCATTGCATGAAGTATCACGGAGCAGTTTTCCCAAGACTGAAATACTGAATATTCAGTTTCTTCTTCATTGCTGTCTTCACTTCCTGGTTTCTCAAAGTATAGATAAGTGGATTCAGAAAGGGAGTGAAGATGGTATAGAAAACGGAGAGAATTTTGTCTACCAGGAAGTTTGTGGAAGGCCACACATAAATGAAAATACAGGGCCCAAAGAACATTAACACAACAATAAAATGCGCTGTACAGGTAGAAAGAGCCTTGGAGGATCCTGTGGAGGAGTAGTCCCTGACAATATTAAGAACAATGATGTAGGAGGTGAGCAAAAGCAGAAAACTTATAAGAGCAATCACACCACTGGTTGAAATCATGGAGGTCCCAAGAACATAAATATCTATACAAGCTAACTGGATGACCAAAGGAAGATCACAGAAAAAACTGTCTACAACATTGGGAACACAGAAGGGCAAATAGAGGGAAAAACTAATTGGCTCATTGTATGTAGAAAGCCCACTGTCCAACAAGAAACTGCCACAAGCTCAACACACACTCTTTGGCTCATAATTGTTGAATAGTGGAGAGGTTTACATATGGCAATATACCTGTCAAAAGACATGGAGATCAACAGCACAATCTCAGTCCCATTGAAGAGGTGTAAAAAAAAGATCTGAGAAATGCAGCCTTCAAAAGAGATGGTCTTACGCAGAGCAAAAAAGTCCATAATCATCTTTGGTGTGGCAAAGGAGGACAGGCACATGTCAATGAGACATGTTGCTGAGCAGGAAGTACATGCGAGAGTGAAGGTGTGAGGTGGATAGGACAGTGAGCAAAATCAGGCAGTTGCCCAACATGGTCATTAAATAGAAGACAGAAAACACCACAGAAAAGAATATCTGGAGTTCAGGAGAATCAGTAAGTCCAAGTAACATGAATTCAGATACTCTGGAATAGTTGAACCCCTCCATTCATCTGCAGACTCAGCTTTATAATTGTAAAAGGAACAAAATTACAGAGTTTGAAAGTGTGATATTTCTACAACCACATATTAACTTATCATTCGCTTAAAGATTGATTACTAGAATCCAACTAAAAATTCTCAGGGTAAACATTTTTGGGGGGAATCACTTAACATTTGCTACCAGATATAATCTGAAAAGTTTAACCTCTTGGTTTTGACTAGCATTAGTACACGTTGAGCTGTAGTCATCACATGCCCATACAATTATACACCTATCTGAATACTACTTAACGAGTTATGTAATACACATTTATTGAGGCAGATTACATTACATTTGTGTGCTCTACTGAATAAGGCATGTAAATAAAACTAAAAATAAAATAAGTGTTGAACTCTCAAAGGTTTCTCTTACACACAAAAATGTGAATATTTTGAGTCAACTATTGTTAAACACTAGACTTAACTAAGACTTTAATGATTTCAGAAGATCCATTTAATATCTTATGAGGGTGATAAATTATTTAATTTTTAATTTCTTAATTCCATAAGACAACTGATAACCAAAAGGCATTCTTGTAACCTACAAGAGTTATTCTCCACTTTTGGTAATTTATTATTTCATAGAAACATGTTTTAAAAAGAGAATCTCCCTCATTTAATTCTCTTCATTCTACCCAAAGCTATATTTTAAACTAGAAAAAACAAACAAAAAAGATACATTAAGAACTCAGAATTATTTTTCAAAATTAATTTTTTCATTTACAGTGCTTCCCAAGTTCTAGAAATTTTATTTCCTACGGAATATCAATGTCTTTACCAAACAGTCAAAAGTGTGGTACAAAACAAGTGAAACTTAGTCCTAGTAAATGAAAGCTAATTTTGTGACCAGGTAGTGTTTACTTTGCCAGCCACCTAATGAAATTTAAGCCTTTGACTACAGAAATTTTAGCTGCGTAACTGGAAATTTGTCCAGGTTACTGGAAAATTTGATGAGACCAAAATTAATTAAGTAAAAAAATATAGTGTTAGATCAGGCATTTATAAATCTATATGCATCTAAATCTTTTTTTTAGTTAAATTGCTTTTTCCACATGTAAAACTACATGAATTCCCTTGTTATATTACACATTTGAATATTTCACTTTATATATTTGAATATTTATCTAGTTTTGATAATAATTTAATTATAATAGATAATGCAATTTTATCTAATCCTGTATTCTAACTTATCCGTCTTTGAAAATGCAATATTTCATTCCTTCTTCAATAAAAGTTTTCAAGGTACACTAAAAAAGATTTCATTATGTCAGTGAAACATGGTGGACGAATGTCAAAAATTTTAAAATATCAGTATACTAATATTTAAGTTATAGTCAATATTAATATGCTAAGAAAAGAATAAAATCATTGTTACAAACTCAAAGAATGAACAAATGGAAAGAGAGTCAAAAATGGGCCAGGCACAGTGGCTCATGCCTGTAATCTAACATTGTGGGAGGCTGAGGCAGGCGGATGGCTTGAGCGCAGGAGTTTAAGACCAGCCTGGCCACCATGGCAAAACCCTGTCTCTACTAAAAATACAAAAATTTGCCAAGCGTAGTGGCACACACCTGTAATCCCACACCCGCTTCTCGGGTGGCTAAGGCAGGGGAATCCTTTGAACCTGGGAGGTGGAGACAGAGGCTGCAGTGAGCCGAGAACATGCCACTGCACTCCAGCTTGAGCACTAAGTGAGTACCTGTCTCAAAAAAAAAAAAAAAGAACTATTTTACTTTTATTTTCTTCATTCTCTTCCATTAATTTATTCCCAATGATCCTTCCAAAAATTCTTGAAAATAAATAAAAAAGAAAATCTTGCATTATGAATGCCTGAGACTTCTGACTATTGAAATTTTAGATTGTAGATCAATACACATATAGATTTAACTGTCTGACAGTGCCAATGTATCAATTCAGTGAAAAAATAAGTTTTATGATTATGTGCCCCCTTTTTTCTGAATTAACTGATTGGCTGATTAAATTTGCAGATTAGCTGATTGCTTTTAGTTAAAAGTAGTGGCATGGTTTCTAGTCTAAAGAAAAAGTCTTATCTGATTTGCAGTAAAAACTAAAACAAATGTTCCAAAACAATTTTGGCTTCTTTTTTGGATAACTATCACAAATTTTACATTGACTACACATTCTGACTTTAGAATAGAAGGATTATAGCAATTGTTCTGTTGCAGCAACTTTCAGAGTCCAGTTAGAAGTGGAAAAATAAAAATGGGAAAAAATCTGATTCATTTTTAAAATTTTTAATTTGTTTTTAATTGTTGCTGTGCAGAAGCAAATGTACTGGAAATGAATTGTACTCAGTTAATTATAATTTACCTTATTATTCCGTCCTTAACTCATTCTGTGATTGAACACTAAATATCAAAATTGTAAATATTACTTTCACGGCCGGGTGGAATGGCTCATGCCTGTAATCCCAGCACTTTGGGAGGCCGAGATGGGTGGATCACTTGAGGCTAGGAGTTCAAGACCAGCCTGGTCAACAATGGTGAAACCCCGTCTCTACTAAAAATACAAAAATTAGCCATGTGTGGTGGTGGACACCTGTAATCCCGGCACCTGTAATCCCAGCTACTTGGGAGGCTGAGGCAGGAGAATTGCTTGAATCCAGGAGACGGAGATTGCAGTGAGCAGAGATCACACCACTCACTCCAACCTGGGAGACAGAGCAAGACTCCATCTCAAAAATAAAAATACAAATAAATGTTACCCTCAGCAATATTTTTCCTTTAGATGACCTCATGTTTTCCCATGTGGAGGAAAATCTGGTTACATCTCCATTTATTTGCACATATTTAAATTGTTTTGTCAATATTGAAAAATTATTTTGGCCGGGTGCAGTGGCTCACACCTATAATCCCAGCACTTTGAGAGGCCGAGGTGGGTGGATCATGAGGTCAGGAGTTCAAGACCATCCTGGCCAACATAGTGAAATCCCATCTCTACTGAAAATAAAAAAATTTGCTGGGCGTGGTGGCGCATGCCTGTATTCCCAGCTACTTGGGAGGCTGAGGCAGGAGAGTTGTTTGAACCTGGGAGGCAGAAGTTGCAGTGAGCTGAGATGGTGCCATTGCACTCCAGCCTGGATGACAGAGCTAGACTCCATCTCAAAAAAAAAAAAAATTATTTTTAAATTTTGTCATGGAATGATATTTGAGAATTCTTAAAAGGAGTATATTGCCCAGTAGTTAAGAGTAGTTACGGTATTCTTGACTTCACTTATGTCTCAGTAGCCTAAGATTTGACCTCTACTTGTGAGAATTATATTAGATGGTCTATGTAAAGCTTGAAGCATATTTTCTGGGCAAAATTTAAGAAATTTTCTAGGTTTCAAAATCCAAATTTAACAATGCTGTTCAGAAATAATCAGTGTGTTTTATTATTAATAACATATGCAAGCCTACTGAAATCACCATAGTTCTTTAGTAAGCATCAGAAGCCTGGAGTACGGATGTATATTTTTCTCCTGTCTTTATTATAAAACCCCTTAGAAAGCAGTGACATTGACTAGATCAGGGATTAAACACTATAATCTACTTGCAGTGGGAGTCATTAAAATGTTGACCCAACTTTTCACAGAGTTGCAACAAGAACTGTGAAGTGTGTCTTTGCTATTTAAAGTGGGAATGCACTCCTGTGATGTAGCAATGTTCATTGGAGAAAAGCACAACTGGGACTGGCCTAGGAGAAGAAAACATTGAAGCAGTCATTTACAGAGCATATGGGGAACAAAAATTACTCCTTTAGTTATGGAAATATTCCCATATTTATGCCCCAGTTTTCAAAATCCAACAATTGGAAAATTATTCTTTTAGGCTAAGGCAATTTGTCTCCAGCAAATACTTGCTTACTGGAAGTTGCGTATTAAAGGAAGTATCATGCATTAAAGTTTCTGACAATACATTAAAAAATTAGCACAAACTAATACTGATAGCTGTTTCGAGGGATAGGTGAATCATAGAAAGGGGGACGTTGGAAAGTCCAACATAGCCAGGAGGAGAGAAGAGAGGTAGTATGGAGTACCTTAGATGAATAGTGTAAAAATTAAATTATAGAAATAAACGTTAAACATTCAGTTCAATGCTTACTACAAGGAAAGTACTTAATAAAATATAGTAGAAATAATAGCAGGGATGTTTATAATAATTATCATTATTTTTGAAGTGTTCATAATGGATTATCCAGGAAGATACAGATGTGGATTCACAACCCAAAACCATAAGCCAAGGGTCTTGCCATATTTACCTGCAGGTCAATCATTTATCTGTGGCTTGCTCTCTAAGCACGACTTGTTTCCCAAATACCTCAAAGACTGAACTCTTCCCAACTGTCATATCCATCCTACATTCCCCACAGGTCTGGCAATAGACCCCAAGAAAATCTTCCCTAGCTGACCACATTTCTAGCACTCTTTGAAATAAGAAAGCAAGTTTAGTTTTAAGATGTTTTTCCTTCTACGAAGAAAAAGGAAACGACTTTTTAAAAACTTAACAAAACTGGTATAAAGATTTAATAGTTTTCTAGTTGTCCCTTGGTATCCATAGAAGATTGGTTCCAGGACCCCCGCTGATACCAAAATCCATGGATGTTCAAATCCCTGAGTTAAAATGGCATGATATTTGTATACAATCTAAACACATCCTCCCATATACTTTAAATCATCTTAGATTACTTATGATGCCTAATACAATATAAATGCTATGTAACTAGTTGTTATACTGTATCACTTTCTGAATTTGTATTATTTGTATTGTTTTTTATTAATATTTTGGATCCGCTATTGGTTGAATCCAAGAATATGGAACCCACAGAAAAAGAGGGCTAGCTGTAAATCTAAAATATGTATCCAATTGTAAAACAAGAAATAAGGATATATAGTAATTATTAGAGTAATCCTGGAAAACTGTATAAATCCTGGAAAACAGGTATAATTATTATTAGAGTAATACTGGAAAAGGCAAGAGAATAAACAGAAAAAGAATAGAAATAAAAATAATTCAGAAAGAGAGAGCATGAAGGAGTTTTTTGGTATTAGTAACCTGTTCTATATCTTGGTTGTGGTGCTGATTACATAATCTATATATATGCTAAAATTAATGGATTGTTTACCAGAACAAAGAAAAGGTCCATTTTACTTTAAGATAATTTTATAAAGTAGAATTTTAAAAAGTAAACCCAGATAATTCAGTACAAGGGCAAATTTCAAAATGAGAAAATAAATTCAATAACCTTCTTACAAATTATTCAACAATATATTGAACTTAAATATATTGAACTTAAATATATTTAATTGTTAAATAAATATATTGAACTTAAATATATTTAATTGTTAAATAAATATATTTAACATTATATAACATTATATTAAATATGTAATATATTAAAATGTAATATGTTAAAATGTAGCCAAAAAGAACCTATTCAGATGAACAATAGGCTATATAAAGTAAATAGGAATAATCTTAAACAGAAATGTGTTGTTTATAAATGACAAAAGCTATACTATTCTAAAAAAAAAAAAGTTGACAAATAAATTTAAATACTTATTATGGTATTGGAGAAAAATGCAACATCGTTCAACACATACATTTTCCCTCCTATAAAATGAAATTCAATAAACCATGAGATATTTTTGAGTTCACAAAATAATTTTCAAAGTTTGTGTGAAGGCAAATCAGATTAAAGTAGTCAAGAATTAGAAATATTATTTCATTTTGTTTGTTTGCTTTATGTTTTGGTTTTTAGCTAACTTAAGCTTTTTTTATTCGTACAAATTTATGGGATACGTGTGGAATTTTGTTACGTGTATGTAATGCATAGTGATTAAGTCAGGATATTTAGGGTGTTCGTCACTCCAGTACAATACTTTTTAAAGTATAGTTATCCTACTCTGCTATCAAACATTCAATTTATTCCTCCTATCTTATCCTTTAGTGCACTTCTCTTTGTTCTTTCCCCTGCCCTTTCCACTCACTCTTCCCGGTCTCTGTGATCTATTTTTCCACTTTCTACCTCCACGTGATGAAATTTTTTTAGCTCCTGCATATAAGCGAGAACATGGGATAGTTACCATTTTGTGCCTGGTTTATTTCACACCAGTTTTATCCATGTTGCTGCAAATGACATTATTTCATTCTTTTTTATGGCTGTGAATAATATTCCATTGTGTATATACACCACATTTTTTGTTGGTTTGTTTTCTGTTTTATTTTTTCATGATTTTTATTGGAGGATATCATCATGAAATATTCTGTATTTTGTATGTTACTGGCTTGATAATAGATCATGCTCGGAAATTATTTCAGAGCTTCATCACCTCTTCCAAGCACCACTTGGGACCTGAGTACCCCAAACATGGCTGGGTACACCTGCACATCATGCTACTGCCCCTGCGCACCAGCACATCCCTGGCTGCTGAGCCGTCCACCTTGCCATCTTCACTGGTCAACAGTTCTTCATGCCGTTTGAAGAGCTTTGCAAAATCCCTCACCAACTTCACAAACCCTGAGTCTTTTTACTATCACCTTCATAAGCCCAAACCCCCACTTAGGTTGGTCTCATATCTTTGCATTGTGAAAAGTACTGCAATAAACATGCGAGTGCAGGTATCCCCTTGGTATATTGATTTTTTTCCCCTTTGAGTAAATACCCAGTAGTAAAATTGCTGTTTCCAATGGTAATTCTATTTTTACTTTTGTGAGGAATCGCCATAATGTTGTCTACAGTTGCTATACTGGTTTACATTCCCACCAACAGTGTAGAAGAGTTCCTTTTTCAATCTGTTATATTTTGTTTTGCTTTGTTTTTGTTTTTAGTAATAGTCATTATGACTAGGGGGAAATAATATTTCATTGTGGTTTTGATTTGCATTTATATAATGATTAGTGATGTTGAGCATTTTTTCATATATCTTTTGGCCCTTTGTATGTCTTCTTTTGAGAAATGTCTATTTATATCCTTTGGCCACTTTCCAGTGGAATTTTTTTTCCTGTTGAGTTGTTTGGGTTTTTGGTAAATTCTAGGTATTAGTCCACTATTAGATGAACAGTTTGCAAATATTTTCTTCCATTCAGGAGGTTGTCTCTTCGTTCTGCTGATTATTTCTTCTGCTGCTCAGAAGCTTTCTAAGTTAACTAAGCCCCATTTGTCTATTTTTATTTGTGTTGTTTGTGGCTTTTGAGGTGTTAGTCATAAATTCTTTGCCTAGACAAAAGGCCAGGAAATTTTTCCCTAGGTTTTCTTCAAGTATTTTTATAGTTTCAGGTCTTCTGTTTAAGTTTTTAATCTACTTTGAGTTGATTCTTGTATATAGTGAGATAGTGGTCCAGTTTCATTCTTCTGGATGTGGCTATCCAATTTTCCCAGCACCATTTATTGAAGAGTGTGTCCTTTCCCCAGTGTCAGCTTTGTTGAAGATCAAATCTGCAAACAAATTATAAAACTGTAATATCTAAGTAATATTGGAGAAGCACAAAAAACAACTGACAATGTAAGGGACTTGAGAACAATGAATTATATATAGACCAAGTATATATAAGACCTTACAATATTATAATGTGAATATGTTACCTGAATTGCCAAAAGGGACTTTGTAGATGGATTTAAGGTTGCTAATCAGCTTGCCTTCCAAATGCTACCGGAGGTACAAAGAGGAGCTGGTACCATTCCTTCAGAAACTATTACAAACAATAGAAAAAGAGGGACTCCTCCCTAACTCATTTTATGAGGCCAGCATCATCCTGATGCCAAAACCTGGCAGAGACACACATAAAAAAGAAAATTTCAGGCCAATATCCCTGATGAACACCACTGCAAAAATCCTCAATAAAATACTGGCAAACCGATTGCAGCAGCACATCAAAAAGCTTATCCACCATGATCAAGTTGGCTTCATCCCTGGGATGCAAGGCTGGTTCAACATACCCAATCAGTAAACATAATCCGTCACATAAACAGAACCAATGACAAACATCACATGATTATCTCAATAGATGCAGAAAAGGCCTTCAATAAAATTCACCCCTTCATGCTAAAAACTCTAAATAAACTAGGTATTGATGGAACGTATCTGAAAATAATAAGAGCTATTTATGACACACCCACAGCCAATATCATACCGAATGGGCAAAAGCTGGAAGCATTCTGTTTGAAAACCAGCACAAGACAAGGATGCCCTTTCTCACCATTCTTATTTCAACACAACATTGGAATTTCTGGCCAGGGCAATCAGGGAAGAGAAAGAAATAAAGCGTATTCAAATAGGAAGAGAGGGAGGTAAATTGTCAAAGTTTGCAGATGACATGATTGTATATTTAGAAAACCCCATCATCTTAGCCCAAAATCTCCTTAAGCTGATAAGCAACTTCAGCAAAGTCTCGGGATACAAAATCAATGTGCAAAAATTACAAACATTCCTATACACCATTAATAGATAAACAGCCAAATCATGAGTGAACTCCCATTCACAATTGCTACAAAGAGAATAAAATACCTAGGAATACAACTAACAAGGGATATGAAGGACCTCTTCAAGGAGAATTACAAACCACTGCTCAAGGAAAAAGAGAGGACACAAACAAATGGAAAAACGTTCTGTGCTCATGGATAGGAAGAATCAATATCATGAAAATGGCCATACTGCCCAAAGTAATTTACAGATTCAATGCTATCCCCATCAAGCTACCATTGACTTTCTTCACAGAATTAGAAAAAACAACTTTAAATTTCATATGGAACCAAAAAAGAGCCTGTATAGCCAAGACAATCCTAAGCAAAAAGAACAAATCTGGAGGCATCACACTACCTGACTTCAAACTATACTACAAGGCCGCAGTAACCAAAACAGCATGGTGCTGGTACCAAAACAGATATATAGACCAATGGAACAGAAAAGAGACCTTAGAAATAATGCCACACATCTACAACCATCTGATCTTTAACAAGCCTGACAAAAGCAAGCAATGGGAAAAGGATTCCCTATTTAATAAATGATGTTGTGAAAACTGGCTAGACATATGCAGAAAACTGAAACTGAACCCCTTCCTTACACCTTATACAAAATTAACTCAAGATGGATTAAAGGCTTAAACGGAAAACCTAAAACCATAAAAATCCTAGAAGAAAACCTAGGCAATACCACTCAGGACATAGGCATGGGCAAAGACTTCATGACTAAAACACCAAAACCAATGGCAACAAAAGCCAAAATTGACAAATGGGATCTAATTAAACCAAAGAGCTTCTGCACAGAAAAAAAAAAAAAAACCTCTCATCAGAGTGGACAGTCAACCTACAGAATGAGAGGAAATTTTTGCAATCTATCCATCTGACAAAGGGCTAATATCTAGAATCTACAGGGAACTTAAACAAATTTACAAGAAAAAAACAACCCCATCAAAAAGTGAACAAAGGATATGAACAGACACTTCTCAAAAGAAGACATTTATGCAGCCAACAAACATATGAAAAAAAAGCTCATCATCACTGGTCATTAGAGAAATGCAAATCAAAACCACAATGAGATACCATCTCATGCCAGTTAGAATGGTGATCATTAAAAGGTCAGGAAACAACAGATGCTGGAGAGGATGTGGAGAAATAGGAACCCTTTTACACTATTGGCGGAGGGTAAATTAGTTCAACCATTGTGGAAGACAGTGTAGCGATTCCTCAAGGGTGTAGAACCAGAAATACCATTTGACCCAGCAATCCCATTACTGGGTATATACCCAAAGAATTATATATCATTCTACTATAAAGACACATGCACATGTATGTTTACTGAGGCACTGTTCACAATAGCAAAGACTTGGAACCAACCCAAATGCCCATCAATCATAGACTGGATAAAGAAAATTGGTCACATATACATTATGGAATACTATGCAGCCATAAAAAAGGATGAGTTCATGTCATTTGCAGGGACATGGATGAAGCTAGAAACCATCATTCTCAGCAAACTAACACAGGAACAGAAAACCAAACACCACATGTTCTCACTCTTAAGTGGGAGTTGAACAATGAGAACACAGGGACACAGGGAGGGGAACATCCCACACGGGGGCCTGTCACAGGGTGGGGGGCTAGGGGAAGGATAGCATTAGGAGAAATACCTAGTGTAGGTGACAGGTTGATGGGTGCAGCAAACCACCATGGCACATATTTACCTATGTAACAAACCTGCATATTCTACACATGTATCCCAGAACTTAAAGTATAATTTTTAAAAAAGACTTCACCAATATTATTTATTTTTCCTGTTGCCTCAGGTTCCAACGTGGCTCAACATGGCAGTTGCTGATCCTGACTTTGCTTAAAATTTGGTACTTTGTTTATCACAAATTTTAAAATTAATTTTGATTTCTCAAAATATTGATTAAAATGTTTATCTCTACTATTGAGTTTTTGGGCACGCCTTTAAATTTTGCATGCAAGATAAGCACCTTCCTCAGTTGTAGGATGTTGACGGTGATAAGGACATTAGCAAAGGAAATATTGAAAAGCTCGTGAATACTGTTGCGTAATTCTTCTTAGAGAAAATAGTTTCTTGGTATAGGATAGAACAATTGCTAAAGGGAAGGTGACCTCCTACATAGCATGAAAAGATGTGTCATGATCTTGGTATTTGTAATTTGTTCCCTTTCACTCTGCTCAACTAAAACAAGGATGAAAAACATTTTTCCATTAAAGATTATTAATTTTAAAAATTAATTGAGTCAGAAAAAATAAATGCAAATTAATTTTATTTTATTTTAAAATTATTTTAATCTTTTGCTTTAAAGAAAACACTGAGTTTATGGGTCACTTTACAAGTGAAATAAGAACACAGATTTGGGGGTAATAAACATAATTTAGCACCAAATATATTTGTTCTAATTTATTTCACAGTTCAAAAACAAAGTGTAAGAGTAGAAAAAGGAAAGAAAGAAGAAAGGAGAGAGAGAGAAGTACAGAAAAAGTTACAATAATCAAAATAAAAATCAAGAGAAAAGGGAAAAGAAAGACTAGCAGAGACATAAATGGAAAGATAGTCGTATGACTTAAAAAAAAAAAAAAAGGTGAAGAGACAGAGAGATACTAGTCCACGAGGAGAGCAAGACCATCTAGAGGCAGAACTCCTTATCTAAGGAATTCAGAAGTAATTAGACATCCCTATTATGTAAAGCTGGCATCTGGTATGAGATTTCTTTTCCAAAAATTTGTGAGTAACCAGAATTTCTATGCATCTCTGGAATGCATGTATTCTAAACTCATTGTGCAACCCTTGCTGACATCAAGGCACCAAAATGTCTATAAATGTAATTGTTTACCATGACCTATGTGGCTAATATGGTAAAAATTACCCTTAAGCTCCCACTTTAAGGTCCATAAATACCCTAAGGAAAAATCTAGTGCAGTGGCGTACTCAGTCCTCTCTTGCTGAGGAGCCCTGCTGCACTCCTCTGCAGCATTCTTTCCATCTAATACAGCTTTCCTTTCCAAATCTATACAGTTGTTGGTAAATTCTTCTTACTACCCACAAGCCAACCACACTCCACTGCCTGGGCTGTGACAGCTCGCATGGCAGTCCATATAAATGCACAGTCTACAAATCCATATAACCACAAAAAGAAAACAATGATAAAGAGAGCTGCACAAAGGAAAATAGAGAAAGGAAGCAAAATGAATGAGGTTAGATACGTTCTTAGGTGGAATAACAACCCCATCTTGGAGTAGGTTAGTCTTGCCACCAAAACTTTTAAAAACATGATTTTTTTCATAATTGTGCATATAATCCAGGATCTTACTCACCTCTTAATGTTCACTCTAATACATAAGATAAAATTAATTTGAAGATCTAAAATAGTCCTCAAAATGGAGACTTTTTAATCCTTCTAGGAAAGTTTTATCACCTTGGATAGATTTTTTCCTCTAGATAATCTTGAATTAATTTTACAATGAAAAGTATTACTGGTATTTTATTAAATTGTATTCAATTTATGCATTGGCATGTATATATTCAATAATATTACTTTTAACCAACAAAAGAGTTTGTCTCTGAATTTATTCATTTTTTTCTCAAAAAATATTACCACTTTTTATATGAACAGATACTTCCCAAAAGAAAACATGTATACGGCCAATAAGCATATGAAAAAAAAAATGCTCAGCTTGACTATTCATTAGAGAAATGCAAATCAAAACCACAATGAGATACCATCTCACACCAGTCAGAAGGACTGTTATTAAAAAGTCAAAAAATGGCTGGGCACGGTGGCTCACACCTTAAATCCCAGCACTTTGGGAGGCCAAGGTGGGCAGATCACGAGGTCAGGAGATCGAGACCATTCTGGCTAACACAGTGAAACCCCGTCTCTAATAAAAAATACAAAAAAAAAATACAAAAAAAAAAAATTAGCTGGTCGTGGTGGCGGGCGCCTGTAGTCCCGCTACTTAGGAGGCTGAGGCAGGAGAATGGCCTGAACCCGGGAGGTGGAGCTTGCAGTGAGCCGAGATCGCACCACTGCACTCAGCCTGGGCGACAGAGCGAGACTCCATCTCAAAAAAAAAAAAAAAAAGAAAAGAAAAGAAAAGTCAAAAAATAAAAATTCAAAGAGAATTTTTTTCTTTTTTTACTTTTATGGCATGACTTCTAATATTTTTATATCCTTAACACTTTATACAAAAAAATCAAAGGAAGAAGAACATTTAAGTTTACTTTGTTTCATTTTTCAGAGTTAATAGTTGTTTCACATTCTCACCAAGATTTGATTTTTAAATGTTGATCTTGTATCCTGCAACCCTTGATAAATTTCCTTGTAAATTATAGTTCTTTAAAGACACCATAGTATGCTCTACACATATATTTCTTCTATGAATAAATAGATTTTTATTTTTTCTTCCTAATATTAATACCTTTAAAAAAAAACTTTATTTCAGTGGTTAGCACATGTTGAATAGAAGTGGTGAAAGCATGAATACTTGCATTCTTCCTAATCTTAAAGGGGCATGCATTCAAGATTTTATCATATGTTATAATGGTTGCTATAGGTTTTTCATAATTGCCCTTTATTGGACTGGAGAGGTTCCCTTTCATTTCCAATGTACTTAGAATTTTTTACAGACATGAATGGATGTTAAAACAAACGATTTTCTGCCTCTATTGGCGTTCACCACCACACCCAGCTAATTTATTTTATTTTATTTTATTTTTATTTTTATTTTTATTTTTAGTAGAGTTGGGTTTCACCGTGTTAGCCAGGATGGTCTCGATCTCCTGACCTCCTGATCCGCCTGCCTCAGCCTCCCAAATTGCTGGGATTACAGGCACTAGCCACTGCACCTGGCTGAGGACGTCTTTAAAAAGGTAGCATAACTCCTATTTCTAGCCGCTCTTGCAACTAAAGGTGGCTGTGTACAGAATAACTCTATTCCTCTATATCCTGTTTGGACAAACCATCTTTCCATTGATTTAAGCACACTTTCAGAATAAAACGTAATTTCTTATCTCAGGAATTCCAAAGTCTAATGGAAGAGGCAAGCTTATATTGAATAATTTAGCAAAGCAGATTGTGCTTGGCAATAATAAAGTAATTCAATATATAAAACATAAGAAAAGGAAATATCTGTTTCATAGTTGTAATTAATTAGAACTTTACTATGCAGAATAGGTAGAGAGGCATTCCTCAAAAGATTAAGAGAGGTATAAAGTAAATGTAAATGTCAGCTATAGGGGTTTTCTTAGGCAGAGAATCATGCTTTAGGGTAAATGAAGGTGACGCTGGTATTCAGGTTCCTTTGGAGAAGGCAACAATAAAAGTAGAGTTATCATTTATGAGATCCAAGAAGTCCAAGAAAAGATAATAAGAGCCCAAGCCACAGCAGGCTCAGACTTTTTTTCCTAAATAAAAAGGAACGAATAGCTAAATATGACAAAAGTCAAGGTATCTTTTAAGAAAGTTACACTTCCTCTGAAGCACAACAGAAATCAAAGATAGTCACCCTACAGCACTCCTTGCCTCTCTTCCAAGGATACAGCTATGTATTGTTTTTTTAAAAAGGTAAAGGGAATATATCACTTGACCATGTCTCTTTCCAAGGTGAATTTCTCTAAAAGCACAACTTTGGGGCACTTGTATGAGATATAGTTTAAACCCCACTGAATTTGATTTCCCACCCTCCCAGACACTTACCTTTATTATTTTCTCATATTTGTTTGCTTTCGTTTCCTTAATATAGTCCAGGAAATGTATTTGTGGGCCATCCTACAGAAGTTATAATGAATGGAAAAACGTGAAGAACCTTCTATTCTCCCAAGGGTATATGGCAAAGAGGGTTTAATTGCACCCAAAATATCAATGTGGAAGGGTCACATAACTGATACTATAAAGTAACACATTGTCTTACAGAATTTTCATTCTTAGGCTGAAATATTACCTTCTTCATCAAACTTACCTGACCGCATGTTTGATGTTGTTTGAGTAAAATATAATACTCTTTTATTTCCCAAATGCACACAGACACACACACACACACACACATATTATGTTTTGGGAAATATATGTGCTATAGTATCTATATTTATTCACTTCTTAAATTTGTACTTAATTAAAATGACAAAATGAATTTGCTGAAAGGAGTTGGTAAAATGATCAGCTGTATTCAGTCACATAACTATTGTTTAGTCTTAGTAATGAAAATAGAAAAAAAAAAAAAACCAGCCAGGTGCAGTAGCTCACGCCTGTAATCCCAGCACTCTGGGAGGCCAAGGTGGGTGGATCACCTGAGGTCGGGAGTTCGAGACCAGCCTGGCCAGCATGGTGAAACCTCATCTCTACCAAAAATACAAAAATTAGCTGGGCGTGGTGGCACGCACCTGTAACCTCAGCTACTTGAGAAGCTGAGGTAAGAGAATCGCTTGAACCTGGGAGGCGGTGCTTGCAGTAAGCCGAGGTTGCGCTACTGCACTCCAGCCTGGGTGACAGAGTGAGACTCCACCTCAGTCAAAAAAAAAAAAAAAAATGAAAATAGAAAAAAACCAACAGACACTAAAAGCTAAGAAAATAGTGTGTTCATTTTGGAGTCTAATTCAAAATTCATTACAATGAATTTTAACGGGCCACCAGAGGCATGTGTTGAAGTTCACTGAATATTATTCAATGTTTGAGAATTACAGACAGCACACATATTTCATTTGTAGCAATGTCTGATTTGTTTTACATCTATATATTTGCATTTATTTAAAACAAAAAACGTCTAAATATATTTCATCTGTTATTTGGAAAAAACATTGAGTAACTAATTGTCCAAATATAGCTCTCTATTTTCTAATTTTTAATTAACAATGCTTCTTATTTAAAAAAATAACTTATTTCAAAATAGCTGACATTTAATGTTTTTACATTTTTTAAAGTGTTCATGCACATCTATTTAATTTCTAGATATCGTGAGGGAATCGTCACTGTATCTGGAAGCCAGATGCCAAAGATGTTCAGTTATTATCAATGTATCTATGCATAAAGGATTGAAAATGATTCTTCATGCCATAATTTATCTAAATATTCATTCCTTTGGAACACTGTTTTCCACCAATAGTAACAAGACTTGGAACAAAATAAAATAGCAATATCATGTGCATTTTCTATTTCTGCACTTTTCCACTTCTGGAAATAGTCATAGAATCATTTTGTGACAGATTAATATCATCCATGATCCTAAGTCACTAAGAATAAGTGTTAGATTCTTTGGGTTAAATTGCCATAAGGACTAAATTTATTTTTTTAACCAATTCCCTAAAGAATCAACTGATTTTAGTTTTACAGCATATGTATGACCTCTCCATCCATTTTGCCTTAATTCTAGTTCTTTTTATCCTTCAGTGGTGAGAATGAGAAAACCTGGATGCATATGGCTATGGTTGATTTGAAAAGTACTTTTTAAACATTTGGAAGTTTTTCAAAACCAAAAGCATATTTGCCAAGTGATCTTTTCCCCCTACATTTTAAATCCATGTGCAACCTAAGAGAAATTTAGACCATATGCTAGTTCAGATTGACTTACATTAAAATCATGAAAATTTTATTTAATAGCTCTTTGACACACAGGGAGTGTTTAAATTAAGCTTCTCTAAATTTTACATTTTTCAAAATACACTCTGTTTTCTATCTACCCTCAACTACTCCTCACTACTCTCCAGGAAAATATCAGATTTAATTCAGGAGATGTAAGTTGGATGTTTTCAGTCCATCAACAATGATTAAGTAATTTAAAAAGCATTCTTTTTTTTCACTTCTTCTCTAGTTTTTGTTTGTTTGTTTAAATATCTCTGTGCAAGTTCAGAACAGTTTTATTTATATTAGGATCAATAATCTGAGGAATGAAATAAATTGTTGCATTTGTTGCAATAAATGAGTTTATGCTCCCTTTACAGAACATTAAGGACATGAACTTTTAAGAAAGTTTTAATGTTTCACTATAAATGATACTTGAGCCTTCTATTAGAATAAATAAGGTAAACTTATATAAAGAAAAAATAAAAATCTTCTCCTTCTCATCTGCATTTGCAATCCCACATGCACTGAAGTAATCAATGTTAATGGTTTTCTGTCCATTTGGCCACACCTCTAATGGATGGAATTTATGTAGTGTAATTCTTTGTCAGGTACAACTACACATGAGTAAAACTAGGTGTGATTTAGGACTCAAGATTAGGATTTTTAACTAGTAGTGAAATGGGAAGGGAAAAGCAAAAGTAAAATATACATCAACTAATTGCAGAAGGGTGTATAGAAGGGAGTCATCTGTATATATGACATCTGATGGCCCCGCCACTCAGCTAACCCATCCACGCATGAAATGATAAATAGACAAGTGCATTGAAAATTGTAAGTGTGATGGAAAGGTCACCACGTGATTGCTACTATTATATTGTTTTATTATTTTGTTCTCCCAACAATGTATAGCTCAAATTTATACTACAGGCTGTTCACATCCCTTAACAAAATATCCATTAATTTATGAATTTGATAAAATTCTAACTTACTGCAATGCCCTACAAATAATAGTTCGGCCCATCTGTGGTGATGACTGTTCCGGAAGATCTTTTTGATGTTGAATAACTAATACTGTTTTTCAATGTTACTATTAGGTTGGTGCAAAAATAATTGAGATTTTTGCCATTAATCACAACTACATTTGCACCAACCTAATAGTAATTTAACATTCTGTATCTAACATTTGTGGACACTGATCGAATATGCAATATTCTGGGGAGAAGTTGGTGGAAGAGATGTGTGTTGTTTTGTGAAAGATAGTATTCTGAGGGAGGGCAGAAAAGGGATATATATATAAGAAAATAGTGGATCTTGATCAGATGCATGCTTGTTCCTATTTACAAGAAGTCTACTCTGTGTTACTGAACAAATAAACTTACATGAAGTCAACTAATTTCAAAGAATTTACCGTCTAGAGAAATTCACATTTGTAATAATAAATAGTTTTCTTAACGACAGAAATTTCATGTCTTTTTTATTTTATAGCTATAAACATAGAGTTATAAAATCTAAATACAGACAAGCCTACCCAGTGTTTGATTATATTCAATGATGTTTAAAAGTAATAGCCTCTCTTTTGTTCTTACTGGGAACATTATCATTAGCACAGTGCTTCATGCAGGCTCTTATTACTTCTCTCTCCCATTGTTATGATTGGCAAAGCACAAAGCCATACTCAACTAGGAATGCTTGGGCACATTGCAGCATTTATCACAGGGTGGACTGGATACTGAGTTTCTTAATTTATAAATTTTTCTTTCCAATGCAAAATTCGTGAAGGCTTAATGTTGGAAAAATGTCTGAATGGCTATAAATTCCCTTCCTAATTCCCTCCCCTCAATGCATACCTGTTTTTTTGGGGTTTTTTTGGCTCATTCTTAGAACTGTAGCTGTTCTTGAATCTTTGATGGGTTGAAGCTAATCCACATTCAGATTTTACAATCTCATATAATTGCCAAAATTCTACCCTTCAAAACACTTGTTTCTTTTTTTTCTCTTACATTTCCTCAAAGAAAATTAGTGAAAAAACAATTTTTTATTTGGTCTGAAACTTTATGGTGCAAATCTGAGGACAGGAAGAAATTTAGGGACTTGTTTGTGCACTTTTGATATGGCGAATACCTGGAATATATATTTTTCTCTCTGCACAATGCAAAGTAGTTGCACTCACAAAGTATCAATTAGAAAAAGAAATTATTTCCACATTTCATCAGAGTTTTAAGTGGTTACACTACAATAATCCCCAGCTATTTGGGAAATGGTAAAAAAAAAACTTTGAAGATCAAGCCATCATTATTATTTTCACTAAAACCTAAAAATTCAGCCACAATATGTCAAAACAGTTGGGACAGGACTTCCTTCTTCTAATTTAGTTTTTACTGCTGGATACCTGACGGGCTACTTACTATATCAGGTGTCTCATAGGGCAAATTGTACCTGGAGATAATGTGAATATTGGGTCTGTTATACTCATCAGTCTGAGCCAATATAAACATTCTATGAGTAATTCTGAATACTATCAGTCGGCTTGTCTTCAGCCTTTAAATTTAGTAATAATAGCAAAAATAGCCAACATTTATTGAGAACTATGTTCCAGACTTTACTAAGAACTTTATCTGCAACATTTTATTTAATGCTCATCACCAATCTGTGAGATACTATTGTTTTGCTCACTTTTACATAAAGGAAGTAGGGCTTAAAGAGGCAAAGTAACTTGACTATGATTACATAGCTAATAAATTTTGGAAAATGCCATGATTTAAAACTGTGATTGTAAAAATTATAGCAAAACATCAGACCTTCTTATTATTTACCTCCCCTCTTTCTTTGGAGGTGGTCAATCTGTATATATATACCATAAATTTTTCTCCTATCAAAATGGCTTCATAACATTTGATAACAATTAAGGAAATCTAAACAATGTATGGACTTTAATTTAATATCATGTGGCAATATTGGCTTGTTAGTTTCAAAAAAGTTACCATACTAGTACAAGAAGTTACTGAGAGAGGAAACTGAGTGTGGGGTATGGGAGAACACTCTGTGTTATAGTCAATTTTCTAGCAATCTAAACCTATTCTAAAATTAAAATTCTATCTTAAAAAATGACTATATAGGCTGGGTGCAGTGGCTCATGTGTGTAATCCCAGCACTTTGGGAGGCCGAGGCGGGCAGATCACCAGGTCAGGAGATCGAGACCATCATGGCTAACACGGTGAAACCCTGTCTCTACTAAAAATACAAAAAAGTAGCCAGGCGTGGTGGTGGGTGCCTGTAGTCCCAGCTACTCAGGAGGCTGAGCAGGAGAATGGCATGAACCCAGGAAGCGGAGCTTGCAGCGAGCTAAGATCACACCGCTGCACTCCAGCCTGGGTGACAGAGTGAGACTCTGTCTCAAAAAAAAAAAAAAAAAAAGAAAATGACTGTTTATGCATACCCAGCCAGTGTTTAAAACAATCCACCCATACAACTAACAGACATCTTCTATCACAATTTTATGATGGTTTTGCTAAAGAGTGGCAAAATATACTCAGAAACCAAATTAGCTGATTTCGTTAAACCCATTCTTCTTAATGTCAGAAGCCCTTATTCCATGTTTTCAAAATTCATGATATTGTAAGGATTGTGAAAAAATTCGAAAGCAAATTAAGGTAGTCAAAGGAAAAGTGTTTACAAAAATGTTACTAGCACAACAATCCATCTACAAAAATGTGAACATATTTTAATAACGTTGAACATGGCAAGAAGAGTTGCAATATAAAAAGAGATTTACATGTACAAAAGCTGAGGGAAAAAGTTTCAGCTTCAAGCATTAACGTTTTAGTTCATAAATCTGAAGGAAAATAAAGAGAAAATAAAGGTATTAAGAGATATGAAACAATGTAAAAGAATGAATATTTCTTTTATGAATCCTTGTGAATATATGACAGTATACAAGCTACAGAAAACTAGTTTACTGGGCGGATCACGAGGTCAGGAGATCTAGACCATCCTGGCTAACACGGCGAAACCCTCTTCTCTACTAAAAAATACAAAAAATTAGCCAGGAGTGGTGGCGGGCGCCTGTAGTCCAAGCTGCTAGCGGGGGCTGAGGCAGGAGAATGGTGTGAACCCGGGAGGCAGAGGTTGCGGTGAGCCGAGATCGCGCCACTGCACTCCAGCCTGGGCTACAGAGAGAGACTCGGTCTCAAAAAAAAACAAAAAAAAAAAAGAAAGAAAAAAGAAAACAGATAAAGGACAAGCAAATAGAGAGGGGGAAAGCAGCCACCACCGTAATTTGAACAGTAAAACTGAGAGGAACTTTGAAGTGGAAAGGAGTGTAGTCTTTATTTCATCCTTGGGGATTTGTCAGGGCTGGAGGATGCACACAACAAATAAATAATTTAGAGCGCTCTGAAATATGGTCAGACAGCATATGCCTTGCAGTTATGTCTACACTTTGTGCTTGATCCAAGCATACATATTATTGGGGCAATATCTGACTGATACCTTTTAAACACACACACACACACACACACACACACACACACACACACACACACGATGTTTTATAGAAAATATATCTGGGCCTGGCTACATTTCCAGAGTGTCCCATTTCTCTTGGTTCAAATTTCCATCTAGAAATCAAGTTAAATCTTTGGGATGACACTAATGTTGTAAAGGTGCTGCATAAAAATAAGATTTTTTAAAGTAGATAAGCCATTGAATAATTTTCTACAGCAGGTGAGTGACAGAAGCATCGACCTCAAATTTCACAATGGACTCCAGTGAGAATTCCCTGCAATCATGTCTCTTTTCCCATTTGTTAAGTACAACCACAGTACTACAACCACAGCCACAACTACACCAACACGATTTCCTCACATGATCAGCTGTACTTTCCTGCTCTAGTCCAACGTCTTCCAGCCATGCCTTCCTACAGCACTCTACAGCAAGGGTCAGCAAACATTTTCTAAAATGAGCCAGATAGTAAGTCAGGACTGGGAAAGGCTGTGATAAATGAGAGAGAATGAGTGACTACACAGCCGGGAGGAGTGTGAAAACAGAAAAAGGACAAGGCCGGGCACGGTGGCTCACGCCTGTAATCCCAGAACTTTGGGAGGCCGAGGCGGGTGAATCACGAGGTCAGGAGATTGAGACCATCCTGGCTAACACAGTGAAACCCCCGTCTCTACTAAAAATATAAAAAATTAGTCAGGTGTGGTGGCGGGCACCTGTAGTCCCAGCTACTCGGGAGGCTGAGGCAGGAGAATGGCGTGAACCCAGGAGGCAGAGCTTGCAGTGAGCCAAGATCCCACCACTGCACTCCAGCCTGGGCCACAGAGAGAGACTCCGTCTCAAAAAAAAAAAAAAGAAAAAAGAAAAGAAGAAAGAAAACAGATAAAGGACAAGCAAATAGAGAGGGGGAAAGCAGCCACCACCGTAATTCAAGTTTTATGTGCTGTATTGTCGCTCTCAACTGCTCACCTCTGCTAATGTGGAGCAAAAGCAGCAATAGGCAATATGTAATGAGAGATATGGCTGTCTTCTTCAGTGAAACTTAATAAAAAGTGGCAGCAGGCTAGATTTGGCTTATGGGCTATAGTTTGTCAAACCATGATGGAACGTTTAAAATTTCCCTGGTTACTTTAACTGCAAAAGTGAGTCTTGCATGTTATATTTTACCTCTTCCAGCAGGGCATACAGAGAGGAGCTAGTCAGAACAATTCTTTTTGACATTTATATACTGAGAAGTATACCGGTGTGTTACTACAGTACATCATGGAGAGTATTCTATCCTTTCCTTTCAGTTCTCATCTTTTGTCCTAGATTAATAGAGAACATCATGTACTGTTTTCGGACAGAAAAACTAACAAGCCACCTAAACCCAGTCTTTCTGGCCTCTTAACATTAATGTTGAACTTTCCTTATGCACGGTCAACAAAGATGCTTCAACACTTCTGTAAGCTTCTCCAATCAGACACTGTGTTTCATTTTGTCATCTGCAAAAAGCAGAGGAAAGAGTTTCCAATTTTGTATTGGTTATCAACTGCAGCATAACAAACCACCCCACAACTCAGAAAAATAATCATTTATCCTCTCAGCTCAAGTATCTGGAAACATCTAAGACCAAATTGATCTAGGTTGAAACTAGTTGGGCTTCACTGAACTTGCACTTCTGCAGTTTACTGACTGGAGGGGGTTTTATTATTTACTGGCTTGCATTGGGCAAATTATCTAACGAGGATCTGCACCACCTTTCTTTCATCTTCCTGGAAACAAGAGACTAGCTGAGATATGTTTGTCTCATGGTAGTGAAAGAGGCACAAATCAAGTCTAATTATGCAAACTCCATTTAAGCCTTTGCTTTTGTAATGCCTGCCAAAGTTCCACTGGTCAAAGCAAGCCCCAGGAGTAAACCTGGGTCACCAAGCCATAGTAGAAAGACACTACACATGGAGCGGATTCAGAGAAGTGTGAACATTTTAGTCAGATGTGCAACCTCTCTAAGACTGGCACAAAGGTGAGTGTCAGTAAAAGCCCAGCTTAATTCCAGCTACCTGATGTTCAGTTCAGTTTTTCGGTTGTAAAGAAGAGATGATGATGCCTACCACAGAAGATCATTTGTGCAATTACAAGGATTAAATAAGAATATGAGAAATGTGTGAAGTGCCTAATACAAAGTTAATTGGTAAATGTTCTATATTTTTCATATACTCTTGGGCTTGAAAACAGATTAATTCTAAGCTTTTTAATATTATTCTGTCATAATTGCATAGTTTAGTGGGCCTATCAGCATGTATAAGCAAATGTTAATCAGAGCCAGCCAAGGTTGTGTCTTTTGGATACCAGGAAAGAAAGAGTTACCGTGGCTCTTAGAGAGGAATTGATATGGAATTTAGTAAAAAAATAAATTTTAGTTTGCTATCCAAAATATATGTTTTGTAAATAGAGCTAAGATTTGACTGGAAATTTGAGAAAGGTTGGACAATTAGTTATGTATATAAGAAACTGTGCTGAACCTGCCAAATTCTTTGAAGTGGGTCACAATGATTGAACAGAGAAGGTGCAAGTATGATATACAGGAATATCACATGACAAGATTTAGTGGGTAGGTGGTTATTGCCATTTGGTCTGTTTTGCTATTTATAACCAGTCTTAGGAGTTTTCTTTAAAACTCATAAGATGAAGAAATGAGAGTCTACACTAGCACACAATAATAATATAGATCGGTTGAAAGTAAAAGGAGGAAAAATGGTATGTTATGTAAACATTAATAAAAGAGGGCAGGAGTGTTATCTCAATACCAGCTAAAATTAATTGCAGAGCAAAGACAATTGGGAGAGACAGAGAAGGGCATCACATAAGAAAAAAAGAGTCAGTTCACGAAAAAGATTTGGCAATCTTAAATGTATGTGCAACCAATAACAGAGCTACAAAATATGTGAAGCAAAATCTGATAGAACTGCAAGAATAAATAGACAAATCAACAATTGTAATTGGAGACTTCAACAAGCATCTTTCAATAATTGGTAGAAAAACTAGATCTAAATACTATCAATGTTATATAAAAAAAAAAAAACTCAACAACACCATCAAGCAACAGGATCTTACTGGCATTTATAAAGTGCTCCACCACTGGCTGGGTGCGGTGGGTGTAATCCCAGCATTTTGGGAGGCCAAGGCGAGTGGATCACCTGAGGTCAGGAGTTGACCAGCCTGGCCAACATGGCAAAACCCCATCTCTACTAAAAATACTAGAATTAAGGCTGGGCCCGGTGGCTCACGCCTGTGATCCCAGCATTTTGGGAGGCCAAGGCAGGCAGATCACCTGAGGTCAGGAGTTTGAGACCAGCCTCAATATGGAGAAACTCCATCTCTACTAAAAATACAAAATTAGCCCGGCATGGTGGTGCATGCCTGTAATCCCAGCTACTCGGGAGGCTGAGGCAGGAGAATCACTTGAACC
This sequence comes from Homo sapiens, assembly GCF_000001405.40. NCBI lineage: Eukaryota > Metazoa > Chordata > Mammalia > Primates > Hominidae > Homo > Homo sapiens. The sequence continues at coordinate 14,546,817 of NC_000018.10, read as the reverse complement.
TGGGAGGTGGAGGCTGTGGTGAGCTGAGATCGCACCATTGCACTCCAGTCTGGGCAACAAGAGTGAAACTCCGTCACAAAAAAAAAAAAAAAAATACTAGAATTAGCCGGGCGTGGTGGTGCATGACTGTAATCCCAGCTACTCAGGAGGTTGAGGCAGGAGTATCACTTGAACCCGGGAGGCAAAGGTTGCAGTAAGCCGAGATTGCGCCATTGCACTCCAACCTGGACAAAAGGGTGAGACTCTGCCTCAAAAAAAAAAAAAAAGAAAAAAACGGGCTCCACCCCCTAGCAGCAGAATACAGCAGAACATTTAGGTACCCACAGAACATAAACCAAAATGGACTGTATCCTGGATTTTAACAAACATTAAGAATTTTTTAAAAACTGAAATCCTGTAGAATGTATCCTTCAGCCAAAATGGCATCAAATTAAAAATAAAAAAGTAAAATAACAGCAGAATCTTAAATACTTGAAAAATAAACAGCATACTTTTTTAGTTCTTTTTTTTACATTTTTATTTATTTTAACTTCTGGGGTAGATGTGAAGGATGTGCAGGTTTGTTACATAGGTAAATTTGTGCCATGGTGGTTTTCCCTACCTATCAACCCATCACCTCGGTTTAAGCCCAGCATGCATTAGAGATTTTTCCCGATGCTCTCCTCTCCCTCCCCCATCCACAGGCCCCAGTGTGTGTTGCTTACTTCCCTGTGTCCATGTGTTCTCATTGTTCAGCTCCTACTTATAAGTGAGAACATTAGAAGTTTGGCTTTCTGTTTCTGCATTAGTTTCCTGAGGATAATGGCTTCCTGTTCCATCCATGTCCCTGCAATGGACATGATCTCCTTCATTTTTATGGCTGCATAGTATTCCATGTTGTATGGGTACTGCATTTTCTTCATCCAGTGTATTACCGATGGGCATTTAGGTTGATTCCATGTCTTTGCTATTGTGAATAGTGCTAAACAGCAAGCACACTTCTAAGGAGAATGTCTCAAGGGAAACAAATATATTAAACTGAATAAAAATAAAAATACAACATATCAAACTTGATTTAACACAGTTGACGTCAGTGCTGAGAGGAAAATGTATTTCACTAAATGTATATAATAGAAAAGTAGAAATCTCTCAAATAAAAATTCAAGCTATCACATCAAGAAAGTAGAAAATAGTAGCAAAATAAAATCAAAACAAATATAAGAAAGAATATAATAGGGATAAGAGCAGAAATAAATGAAACAGCCAAAAGAAAACAACAAAGAAAAGCAAAGAAATAAAGCTGGTTCTTTGAAAATATCTATAAAATTGACAAACCTTAACTAATAATGATAAAGAAAAAAGGGATGTCATAAATTACCAATTTCATGAATGAAATGGGCTATCCTTACAGACCTTGAAGACATGAAAATGATAATAAAGGAACGTCATGAACAACTCCATTCACATACATTTGACAACTTGGGGAAAATGGGCCAATTTCATGAAAAGCAGAAACCACCACAAAACTCACCCAATCTAAAATAGGTAATTTAATAGCCCTAAAATGTAAGGACATTTAATTTCTAATTTTAAAGACTCCTGAAGGAGAAATCTCCAGGACAAAATGGTTTTACTAAAGAATTTTATGTACTGCTTAAAGAATTGACACCAATACACACAATCTTTTCTGAAAATAGAGAATCTTTCCCAATTCATTTTATGAAGCTAACATTACTCTGATATCAAAATAGTACAAAAAAGTAAACTATAGCCCGGTAATTCTCTTGAACATGGATACACCAATTCTTAACAACATTAGCAGCAGAACTCAGCGATGTACACAAAGAATTACACATCATGTCCCAGTGACGTTTACTCCAGTGACTGCACACCTAGACATTCATCCCACTGAAATAAAAACTTTTTTTTTGCACTTGTAATTGGCTTCCCCTCTGCTTTTGTTGGCAAGAGCAGGTCGGTGTCCCAGGCTTAGAATCCATTTTTCTCTCTTTCTCTCCGTCTCTCTCTCTCTCTCTCTTTTTTTGACAGAGCCTTGCTTTGTCGCCCAGGTTGCAGTGATGCGATCTCGGCTCACTGCAAGCTCGGCCTCCCGGGTTCACGCCATTCTCCTGCCTCCCGAGTAGCTGGGACTACAGGCGCCCACCACCATGCCCGCTAGTATTTTGTATTTTTAGTAGAGATGAGGTTTCACCGTGTTAGCCAGGATGGTCTTTATCTCCTGACCTTATGATCCGCCCGCCTCAGCCTCCCAAAGTGCTGGGATTACAGGCGTGAGCCACAGTGCCCGGCCAGAATGCATTTTTCCTCCCACACCAAAGCACCTGCAGTATGGGTGAAGCAGCCTGGAGCCTGGCTACATAAGCCTGCACAGCAGGAGGGTCCCAGCAGGAGGGTCGAGGTGCCACTGCCTGGGTCCAGCTCACAGGCTGCCAGGGAGGCTCCGATCTGGCTCCCTGGTGCTGGCAGTGTCCTGTTCCCAGGATCTGCACGTGGGGGTGCCTTCCTGCATCTCCCCATCAGTGGTAGGTGCTCCTCCCAGCTCCCTCTTGCAGGCCTGGAGACAGCGGCCTGCACCTCAACCCTACTGCATGCCAGTGAAGCGAAGCACCCCGGGCCAGAAGCCCCACAGCTGTTGGCCCTGGTTTGGACACCAGGCAGGGGGCACCACAGCAGGAGCTAGCAGCCCAGCCCCGATTCTGTGGCCCCGAGTGCCCCGTTGCTGATGACCCTGTGTTCTGGGTGCGGACCAAGGAGGAGCAGGTGTGGAAGGCGCCTCAGGCAGGCCCTGGGCTCCGTGGGCGTCTTGTGCTCGGAGATTTTGAGGCCATTTGCATCCAGCTCCGCCAACCAGAGCTCTAAGCTGCAGCGGCGGCCACCCGCAACAGCACCACCACTAGTGTCTTGGGGGCTTTCTTCAGAGGAGGCTGTCAGCATCTTCGAGTTCCAGGCGCTCTAGCCCCAGTCCTGCTTCAAGAGGCTTTTTCCCACCACAGGCTTCTCCTCAGTGGCCCGAAAGCTGGGCCAACTCCCATGAACTTTGCCAGTAACGCAAGGCTGTCACTGACATTTGTGGCGCCAAGACTTGCGCACCCGGATTGCACACATCGGCCACTTCCTGCACCACGTGCAATGACGCGCGCACGCCTCACGCGCACGCCGCGTAACGTCTGAGGCGCGCACGCCTCACGCGCGCCCCGCACGCGCGCCCCGCACGCGCATAACGGCTTGGCTTACCTGTAACGGGTACGCTTCGCTTTGCGTTCCTCGCTTGGCCTTGCGTTCCTAGCTTGGCTTGGCGTTAGTCGCTTTGCCTGGTGTTTCTTGCTTGGATTGGCGTTTCCTCCCTCGCATTCCTTTGCTGGGCTTGACTTTTTCTCTGCTGGGTTTGGCATTCCCTTGACTGGGCTGGGTGTTTCCTTGGGAGGGGGGGCTTGGCCTTTCCTGGGGTGGGCGTTGGGTCCCCCTGGTGGGCGTGGGCTTTCCCCGGGTGGGTGTGGGTTTTCCCTGGGTGGGGTGGACTGGGCTCCCTTGCTGGGGTTGGCAAGTTTTGGCTGGGATTGACCTTTCTCTTCAAACAGATTGGAAACCCAGGGTTTCCTGCTAGTTGGTGAAACTGGTTGGTAGACGCGATCTGTTCGCTACTACCGGCCTCCCCGGGCTGTTAAAAGCAGATGGTGACTGAGGTTTGTTCAATGCCCGCTGCCTCTGCTGTGAAGAAGCCATTCGATCTCAGGAGCAAGATGGGCAAGTGGTTTCACCACCGCTTCCCCTGCTGCAAGGGGAGCGGCAAGAGCAACATGGGCACTTCTGGAGACCACGACGACTCCTTTATGAAGATGCTCAGGAGCAAGATGGGCAAGTGTTGCCACCACTGCTTCCCCTGCTGCAGGGGGAGCGGCACGAGCAACGTGGGCACTTCTGGAGACCATGACAACTCCTTTATGAAGACGCTCAGGAGCAAGATGGGCAAGTGGTGCTGTCACTGCTTCCCCTGCTGCAGGGGGAGCGGCAAGAGCAACGTGGGCGCTTGGGGAGACTACGACGACAGCGCCTTCATGGAGCCGAGGTACCACGTCCGTCGAGAAGATCTGGACAAGCTCCACAGAGCTGCCTGGTGGGGTAAGGTCCCCAGAAAGGATCTCATCGTCATGCTCAGGGACACGGACATGAACAAGAGGGACAAGCAAAAGAGGTAACTGGGCCTGGGATGGGAGGAGGCGGGACATGGGGGGATGATGGGGACATACCCTCCTGGCGCAGGGAGGGAGGAGCCAGGCTTTCTCTTCCTCCGCAGGCCCCACACCACCCTGGGTGTGGAAACCTCAGAGAGGTCAGGGCCCAGGTCCCTTTATAAACAGCAACACAAAAAATGTTAGCTGATTTTCAATCCAATTATAATTTCCCTTATAGAACACTAATAGACGGTTTTAAAGTGATTTAACTCGCAAAATTAAGTCAATGCAGCAGATTATTTTTAATGTACACATTTTAAAACAATGTTCTATACACTATAGAAAGGTGTATATTGAGAACTAAGCCCCATAATATATCAACTTCTGGGCTAAATATTTTTCAAATAAAATCCAATATGGATTTTATATCGATGTGCCCTATGTAAATACGTTCTTTACTGAGTAACCTTAAAAGGAAACTGAAATGGGAAGTATGGTTCATATCTTTGAATAGGAAGGTTCGTTTTTCTTAAGATGTGAGCTTTTTCTGTGTTTATCACTTTTACATAAGCCAAATAAAAATAGCAAAGTCTTAGTGTCTTTAAATTGCACATGATGTATTTTATCATTGTGATAAATTGATTTTTTGTAACAGAATGGAAAAAGACTTGCTTTTCCAGATATCAAAATGTGCATGTGTTATTTCCACAAATTGTTTACTAACAGCTGAAAAGACATAAATGAACAGAACAGAATAGGAAATCCAGAAATACCCAAATATATGTAAGAATTTAGCACTTGATAATGGTGATGTTTCATATTGGTAAAACAAGGTGAATTATTCATAAATTAAATGCATGCTGTTTGGAGAAAACTACCTAGATTTTTATGTCACAAAAATAAGTTCCTGGAGTATAGATTAAAAATTTTAAAGATACAAAAGGAGAAAAGTACCAGAAGAAAACACAAATGCCTATTTATATGTGCAAATATTTATTTATTTTTCTGAGACAGACTCTCACTCCATGGCCCAGGCTGGAGTGCAGTGGTGCAATATCAGCTCACTACAACCTCTGGTTCCTGGTTCAAGTAATTCTCTGCCTCAGCCTACCAAGTAGCTGGGATTACAGGCACCCACCACCATGCCTGGCTACTTTTTTGTGTTCTTAAGACGGGATTTCACCATCTTTGCCAGGCTGGTCTTGAACTCCTGTCCTTGTGATCCACCCACCTCAGCCTCCCAAAGTGCTGAGATTACAGTCATGAGCCTCTGAAACCGGCATATATATGCAGATATAATAAAATAAGCTCAATTTAAAATTGGGCAAGGTACTTTTTTGCATGTCTACCAGTGACCTGTGCACATAGGAAAACATAGCATTCCTGCTAAGAGAAGGAATTTAAGTTAGAAGAGGAATGAAAGACTATTTTCTGTTTAAGTTAGAAGAGGAATGAAAGGCCAGCCATGGTGGCTCATGCCTGTAATCCCAGCACTTTGGGAGGCCAAGGCAGGTGGATCACGAGGTCAGGAGTTTGATACTAGCTTGGCCAGCGTGGTGAAACCCGTTTCTACTAAAAATACAAAGAATTAGCTGGGCATGGTGGCATGCACCTGTAATCTTAGCTACTCAGGAGGCTGAGGCAGGAGAATTGCTTGAACCAGGGAGACGGAGGTTGCAGTGAGCTGAGATTGCACCACTACACTCCAGCCTGGGTGATGGAGTGAGACTCCATCTCAAAAAAATAAATAAATAAAAATAAATAAATAAATATAGAGGAATGAAATACTGTTTTCTGTCCACAAAGTTTGTGAGGGTGAAGAACAGTGGTACTTATATTACTTGCTGAAAGTTTAAGTTGCTGCGACTTTTCAAATAGACACTTTGATGGTAAGAACCACATTTTTAAAATGTGTATGCCTTTTACCCATCTATTCCATTATACTGAAATATCTATATGAAACAGACACAGCTGTTTTTCTTAGTATTGCTTAAAATAGCCATGTGTTGAGAACTCATATAAAGATTTTATGAACAAATTTTAGTGCATCCATAGGATGGAATAATATGTAACCATTGAGGGTGTCAGTAGATACAGAGATATGTCGGCATGCAAAGATGTACTTTGCTATATCAAGTGAGAAAAAATCAGTTTGTTATACATATACACAAACAGAATCTGCTCTTGTGTTAGCTGGAAATATGTGGAAAATATAATCAAACTTATTTCTGGGGATTTGTAAGTGAAGTTTTTCCCTTTCTCTTATCTGTGATTTCTGCAATGAACATCTGAAAAGTTTTAGTTAAGTTTCATTAGTAATGAAATAATACTTGGGAAGAGAAGGAATATGCTACTTGCATAGATACAAATAATTTCTCACATTCTATTATTTATTTTTATACCTGTGGATGGCTATCTTCTGTGAACTTTTACCCTCTTCAGAAGTAGAGGGCTTCTGTTTACCTCTTCTGGTAGATTTTATTGTATATACATTTTATTATATAATTATCTTTCATTATATATAGATTAACATGTGTAAATAGTATGGATTAATTATTTTAGTTTAGTTATATATTTATGAAAACTAAAATAGCAAATATAAATGATCGTTACTATCACAAATGTATTGCTCTACTCAACAGGAGTTTTCTTTTAAAAATATTGAACTTCCAACCTATGTTTATCCATTCTTTCAATCCGTTTAGTCATCAAACATAAGCCAGACACCTATTATATGGCAGGCATATTCTGCCATCTCTCAGGATCCTTCCACCTTTGAAAACTTCATGTTTACCTGCTGCGCCTGAGCAAGCTGAGAGAATCAAAATTGGGGCATTAGGACTTAATCTCAATTGAAGCTTTTCCTCCCTGCTTTCAAACAAAAGCATTTCTGAAGGTGGAAAATAGTGAAAGATAACCCTTAACTGCCCTTTTGAAAATGTATAAGGCTTGGGTAAAGACTGTTTTAGCTGTTTTAAGAACTTAAATGTGGTACATAAACAGCATGGAATACTATGTAGCCATAAAAGAAAGAACAAGAGCCTGTCCTTTGCAGGGACATGGATGGTGTTGAAGGCCATTATCCTTAGCAAACTAACATAGGAAGAGAAAACCAAATACTGCGTGGTCTCACTTATAGGTGGGAGCTAAATGAGGAGAACACACAGACACCTAGAGGGAAGCAACATACACTGGGGCCTATCAGAGGGTGGAGGGTGGGAGGAAGGAAAGAAGCAGGAAATAGAACTAACGGGTACTAGGCTTAACACCTGGGTAATGAAATAATCTGTACAACCAACCCCCTTGGCACACGTTTACCTATGTTAACCAACCTGCACATCCTGCACCTGTATCCCCGAATGTAAAAGTTGAAAAAAGCTCCACAAATAGTTTCATAAATCCATTTTAAAAAGAGAAAATTTATAACAGTCTTAAATCCTAATATGAATGATTAGAAATATCTGATGTACATACATTTTATAAATCTAAGTATTGAAAAAAATGAGCCCATGCTATTCATTTGAATTTCAAGTTTTCTTTGGCTTAAAGTTTTTGAAAACCAAAGTAAGAAATAGATTATTTTAGAAAATTGTTTTTGTTTTCACCTCAGCCCTCTTATTCCATAGTTCTTTTAAGAACTAAAATTTATCTAAATGCTAGTCATCTGACTGGAACTGCCCCAGACCTGTTATATTATAACATATTCTACTTAATGTAAGGCACCAGGGATTGTATTTTATGTCTCACTAAGAAAATTATTTAAATGCTGCCAATTATAATTATAGTAAATCATGAATTATAAGTGGTATTTCCGTGTAAGAAATGTTAAAACATGGAGACAATGACCATCTTAGACTCAATAAAATACAGTACAGCGCTACCTGTAATCTTTAAAATGTACCTGAAAGTGTAGGTTTAATTGTATCGTTTCACTTAATTCAAATGTTGTCTTTAGTGGTATTAGTAAAAATTATAATATCTTACAATTTTTGAGCTGTTATTTGTGTTAGGAACTATTCTATATTTTGTGTAGAGTCTTATTTAAGCATTACAGTGGTTTCCTCTGAGAAACTGACTATTTTCATTCCCATTTTATTGATGAGGAAATTGAGACACAAAAAGGCTAAGCAACAGCTAGGAAGCGACAGAGCTTCAAGTAGGATTCCAGCCCAAGTTGAATGTCATCCAAGAGCTGTGCTCTTTCTATTCAAATAGGCTGCTCTTTCATTAATACAGTGAGTAATGAGAGGTAATAAGTAGTGTGCTTTCTTCAAAGGAAAATTGAGTTTGTTTTGAAGGCAGAGTAATAGGCTATTCAGTGTTTGCAACTACATGAATCATTAATGTGGCATTAGCTAGTGCACTACAATTTCCTGAAGTCTTCTCACTCTCATAGGACTGCTCTACATTTGGCCTCTGCCAATGGAAATTCAGAAGTAGTACAACTCCTGCTGGACAGACGATGTCAACTTAATGTCCTTGACAACAAAAAAAGGACAGCTCTGATAAAGGTATGCAGTAGTCAACTATATCAGCGTGAGATGGGTTTGATTTCAATAGATAGCATAAAAATGAGTTTTCTCATTTAAATATAACTAGTTGGTGAAAGCTGTGGAATGTTATTTTGAATTCCTAGGACTTAATAATTTGTTTTTGGTCTAATACTGACAGGCCGTACAATGCCAGGAAGATGAATGTGTGTTAATGTTGCTGGAACATGGCGCTGATCAAAATATTCCAGATGAGTATGGAAATACCACTCTACACTATGCTGTCCACAATGAAGATAAATTAATGGCCAAAGCACTGCTCTTATATGGTGCTGATATTGAATCAAAAAACAAGGTATAGATCTACCAATTTTATCTTCAAAATACTGAAATGCATTCGTGTTAACATTGACCTGTGTAAGGGCCAGTTTTCCGTATTTGGAAGCTCAAGCATAACCTGAATGAAAATATTTTGAAATGACTTAATTATCTAAGACTTTATTTTAAATATTGTTACTTTTAAAGAAGCATTAGAGGGTACAGTTTTTTCAGTGCACTTGTGGTTAATGCTTTTTTAAAAAAAACACTGAATTTGTAAAAGGTAATACTTTTTTTTTTCAATTTTTCCCTGCCAACTTTTTTTTCCCTAACGAATGTAAAATGACAAAATTTGCCCTGGAAATAGGTTTTACATTAAAACTCCAAGAAAACTTAAACATGTTTCAGTGAATAGTAATCCTGCTACTTTGACAAATTCCTAAAAAAACACTAATAGATATGAGGTGATGTATCTCTCAGTGGCAAGGCTTAAGATATTTCTGATTGCTCATGAGGCAGAAGTGGAAAGGGAAAAATGCAGCAATCAGAAATATCAAGGCCAACTTGGAAATTAGGTAATGGGGGAAAAGACCATGAAGAGGTTTTTTTTTGTTTTTTTTTTTTTTTGTGTGTGTGTGTGTGTGTGTGTGTGTGTGTGTGTGTGTTGTTATTGTTGTTCATTCGTTTCCTTTATATGGTGAGACAGGGTTCTTTTCCATTTTAGAGAATGACAGTTTTCAGTTTGGGAGAGGGAGTTAGTGGGTTGTAAACTGCCTAGAGATAAATTTTAGGAGGCCTCTGAGGAACCAGATTGGCAGTGAATATGTGGTAATGTAGTGGGAAACCCTTGAGTAGAAGGAATAACAAGTAATTAACCAACTTAGTATCCTATTCTGGTAGAAATGGCCAATTAGAGTCTCAACTCTGCTTTCAATTCTAGAATGTCTTGATGGGAAGGTGGGAGATAAGAGGCTTATAAGTAAAAAGATCAGGTTGGATTTTGAGTTTACTAGACCTTGTTCTACTCTTACTGGGGAAAATTTTGTGGTGTTTTCAGCAAATGAGTCTCTCTCCTACTCTTTCCTCTTTTTGGCCAGATCCTCAAATGATAAAGGGAATTGTTTATGTGGATGAGAGATGAGACTGAAATAATTGTCTATTGCACTAGCTTCCAGCTAGAGTTGTGCATTCCAGTTACCTCAGGAAAATTTTTAAATAATCTTCAAGTCTAGGTTTTCCCCTGAAGATTTTGATAGAGTAAGTCTAATAAAGCCTGGATATGTATGTTTAAAAATGTTTCCTTGAAGCCAGGCATGGTGGTGCATGGCTGTAGTCCCAGCTGCTAGGGAGGCTGAGGTGGGAGGATTGCTTGAGCTTAGGAGTTCTAGTCTAGCCTGGTCAGCATAATGAGACCCTGTCTCTAACAACAACAACAACAAATTTCTCAAAATCCGGATACACTCCTGCTTAACCACTGAATACATAAGTGTAATATGTAAATTCTTATATCTCAGAAACTTCAGATATTTCTAGAAGAGTTGGAGTTGGATATGTGCTAATTCCTTTAAATCTTTCCTTTCCAATAACATTAATCTAAATTTTTGTTTGTTTTTGAGATGGGGTCTCACTCTGTTCCCCAGGCTGGAGTGCAGTGATGCGGTCACAGATCACCACAGCCTTGACATCCCTAAGCTCTGGTGGTCCTCCAATCTGTTTTTGTATTTTTTTTTTAGTAGAGATGAGGTTTTTGCCATGTTTCTCAGGCTGATCTTGAACTCCTGGGCTCAAGTGAATCACCCACCTCAGGCTCCCAAAATGCTAAGATTACAGGTGTGAGCCACCATTCCTGGCCTAGTCTGACTTATCTCTGTCGTTGGGACATTAAAATGAATATTATTGGCACTATCTATCAGCTTACAGAATAATAGCTTTTCCTTTCTACCATCAGTTATTCACTGCCATTCAGAAGGTCTTTAGAAATTTGCAGTGAGTAGTCTTCCAATAAGTAGAGGATGGCTCTCTCAGGACTTTGTGTCCCTTTGTTCAATCATTCAAGTGCTTAGGTCAGTAAGTCGTTTTTAAGAGCAGAGTTTTCTCAGAATTGTAGCAAATTCTAAACCTTTTTTTTCAATTGAAGCTGTATTATCCAGTATGTCTCTTAAGTTTGTAGAGCTTTGGCTTAATCAGGATGGCAGGTTTAAACACTAAAAACCATGGAGTTATTAAGAATACAGATAGGAAATCTCTTAGTTTCAGTAATCCTATGAACTGATTATCTATCTAGTTAACAATCTGGAAAAATTAAATACAAATAGATTTTAAATGAATAAATGTTGGAAAAATTCTTGAAATGGGCAGTGTGATTATTAATAGCAATATTTATTGCACGTTGGAGCTTGAACTTTGGTAAAACATGTGAAACTAAAGAAATATTTTACATTCAAATTCTTGCTTTATACACAACAATTTTGTCTTAGGGTTGGATAATATAGAGATAAAAGATACAGCCCCCGCCCTCAAGAAGCTTTTTGTTTAAATGAAAAAAAAAATCATCCAAAAGTGCCATGCCAAATGCTCGTTTAGAAACAAAGAGTCTTGGAAACAGTAAATGTTAAAGTGAGTTTTTGAGATGATCAGATTTAATGTGGTGAGGCAGAGAAGGGATGTTTCCAAGGGAAGGAGTGGCATGTGGGAAAGTACAGAAGAGTGAGAAGGAAGTGACCAAATTTTATTTACTTTCTGTGAGTGTAAGTCCATAAGCTTCCAGTTCAGTTGAGAAATACATAATTTTTTGAATTACATATTGTTTTTGTTTTATATTGTTTTACAGTGTGGCCTCACACCACTTTTGCTTGGCGTACATGAACAAAAACAGCAAGTGGTGAAATTTTTAATCAAGAAAAAAGCTAATTTAAATGCACTTGATAGATATGGAAGGTATGGTTATTTCTTTTAATCTGTGTGTTGTTCTAGATTGATAGCAGTCACTCAAGTCATAAATAATAAATTAATAAGATTAAATTATACTTATTGGGACATAGTGATCAGTATCAACACAAATCAGTTAAGTAGAAAAGCAATTATTTGGACTGGGCAACATAAAGAACTGTTTTAGTAGGATTCATCTTCTCTTATTATATTGACTGATGTTATTTGTTGTATGATGTTTTTGGTTACATGATCTTATGTTAGCTAAAGGGATTTCATATTAATTTTATGAAGTTTGAACTTTAACTTTCAGTTTACTTTATGACTCAGTATTGAACTTCTTAACCCTTTCTAGTAGGTTTTAACCTCTGTATCTTATATGTTTTTCCACTAAATATGCTGTATTAAACATAAATAGGAGTTGAAAATCCTTTTATCTTTTCAACGACTCTGCTTTAAGTTGCTTTCTTTGAAGAATATTAATGTTAGCTTATCGCCACATGACAATTAATTGCTATTCCCACATACTGTGGGTTCAACAGCTTTTTTTCTTCTTTATTTCCAGTGTATTTTGATGTTTTTATTTTTAGTTGGTATGGAGAGAGGGAGTGAAGATAGTTTTAAGTGGATACACTTTTCCTTTAATGAAGGCAAGCTGTAGGTGGGTGATAAAGAGAAAAGATGAAATTGGAAATCATCATTCTCAGTAAACTATCGCAAGAACAAAAAACCAAACACCGCATATTCTCACTCATAGGTGGGAATTGAACAATGAGATCACATGGACACAGGAAGGGGAATATCACACTCTGGGGACTGTGGTGGGGTGGGGGGAGGGGGGAGGGATAGCATTGGGAGATATACCTAATGCTAGATGACGAGTTAGTGGGTGCAGCGCACCAGCATGGCACATGTATACATATGTAACTAACCTGCACAATGTGCACATGTACCCTAAAACTTAAAGTATAATTAAAAAAAAATAACAAAACAAAAACAAAAAAAAAACTAGCTGGGCATGGAAAAAAAAAAAAGAGAGAGAAAAGAGCTAGGCTTTGGATTCACACAAGACTGGATTTAATTCCTAACTTTCTTACTTGCTACGTGTGTGACATTGGGAACGTTATTTACCACCCAATATGTTGTCATATGTGAAAAGTAGGAGAATATATCCTTCAAAGTTGGCTGTGCATAAGCAAGAAAGATACATGTGGCATTTAATTCAGTGTGTAGCACATGCTTATTGGCATCATTAACTGAAACTCCTGTGACTACTATTCTTACCATTATTATTAATATTACTGCTTTCAGCATGCAGAGAGCTCTTATTTATCTTACCCCCTAGCTAATTTTCTATTACAGCATATCAGTCTAGGGAAGCTGTGACAAAATCTTCACTTAAATCTTTGTCCACTTCAGATAAGTGGCCCTAGCATTGTTTCTTGCCCATCAAAGGACTTTAAATTAGTAGCTTCTGCTATGCAATACCCCACTGAGATAAGAGGTTTCCTTTTTGTCCCTTCCTTTTAACCTTGGTGGTATTTTACAAAGATGAACTCTTGAGCACCCAAGATGCTTATGTCTTTTAGTGCATGTAAATGTTTGATTCTGCATGGACAGGCAAGATGTTAAATTGGTAAAGTATATCAAATTAGCTTTTAAAATAACTTTATTACAGTTCCTAAAGGAGAAATTATCTCTGTAATTTTAGAACTGCCCTCATACTTGCTGTATGTTGTGGATCAGCAAGTATAGTCAATCTTCTCCTTGAGCAAAATGTTGATGTATCTTCTCAAGATCTATCTGGACAGACGGCCAGAGAGTATGCTGTTTCTAGTCATCATCATGTGTAAGTGTTTACATGAAAAGGCTAGTTAATGCTAAATTGAGGTTTAAAATAATTATAACAATTGCATCTTACATATCAGGTGAGATGTCATAGTTTGGTTCAGGTAGTTTTAGATTGGCAGTGAGTTAGTCCCCTGCATCAGCCAGAAATCAGACAAAAAGCAAGACAAGTTAGAAGTACCAATGGGTGCAGGATTCTTTACCTCAGGACTTTTAAGACCTTTATCCTTAGAGATCCCAATATTGTTCATTTCATCCAAGTATAACACCTATGCATGGGATAAAAAAGAGTATCACATCTTTGATTTTTCTGATTAGTTATTTGGGTCTTGAAATGTCCAGTTTAGCAGAAAGTCTTGTACTGTCTTCTGGGGACTATCTCCTACATACTCCTTGAATTTTTCAAGAACCAAAGGGGTTCACTAAATCCAAGGAAGACAGTCCCTTTTATCAAGTCAGAAGGAGGAGAAAAAAAAGGACATTCCAATCATTCTGTTGTTTCCATTGTTTTTGTTGCTGCATTGTTGCCACTCAAACTGGTTCTGCTGCCTGGTAATTGTTGACCTTTGACACCAAGATGCCCTTACTGATTCAGATCCCTCAAGTCTTCATGGGGATTCATACAGTGACTTTGAAGTTACAACATTTTTTAGTTCCCTTACCTATGCTTATATGCTCAGCCATTGTTCCCAAAGCACCAGCACCCTGCTCTGGCCGCTGGGCATCCTGACTTTATCCGCACACAAAGTGAGCAAATTGACCCTTCCTCCTGTATTCAGAACCTAATGTGGAACCCACATCTTAGCCAAGAATGAGCTGAGACCTTCATGGTAAGAGATCCTTTCAGGCCGTTGTTGGTCTTTTCTCTAGCAGATATGAGGTGGGCTTGTTATAAAGGGTCAGAGGGGTTCAAATAATGTGGCAGAAAGAGATCAGTGTTTGTTTCTTCTTCTTTGCTACCAGATCTATACTGTGAGGCACCTTTATATCCTGTGTAGAACCTTAGGCAGTAGAAAGTCCCATATGAGCCTTCCCCAAGCAGTGGCTCCCAGCTGTGGTTGGCCCCTTGAGTGATCTGATTTACATGATAATGAAAATCATCCAAGCTACTTCCATCTCTAGCTCAAGATTTTAAAATATTTTCAAATTGTACCTCACAGGAAGCCATTGAAGAGAATTCTCAGAATCTCAAGTAGGTTAAGTAAGTAGTGATGAGTCATGGACAAGAGCCAAGCCTTGTCCATGACTCATCACAAATCATGTGTAAAAGTAGGGCTTTGTGCCTGCTTTGGCGGCACATATCCTAAAATTGGAACAATACAGAGAAAGTTAGCATGGCTTCTGCATAAGGAGGCAGCACAACTCTTTGAAGCATTCCATATTTTGTGCAGTCACTGGAAGATCATTTCACTATTTGCTGACTAGCTCTAAGGAAACAGTGTGAATCAAAGCAAAATGGGTGCCACCAAAATATCGAAATGTGATTTGTGCTGCAAAAATAGTCATGGAAGATGGTCTGTGAGATGATTTAGAGCTGAATAATGTGTTCGATGCAAAATATATTATAAGTATGTATGTCAAAAATTAGAGAATGTCAATTTGCAGCTTCTTCATGAAAACGGAAAAAAATAAAAGTAGAGTTTTGGTCTCCCATGTCAGCTGGAATTGAACATCAATATAAAGCATTATCCTAACAAACATCTGCTGGCTCAGAGTTTGAGTCTATAGAGAAGGATCATTGCTCCAAGCCAGGTCTTAACATCCATTGGTTTTTCTGCCCTTAGCACAACAAATTGGTCAACTCCGTAATAGTGGACAATCACATTATCTACTTTAATGAGAGATTTATGAAAAAATTTAGTTACAAACTATGACACAGTTGAGATGCCCTGAATTATAAGCCATAAGGAGTAGGACAACTAAGAAGCAAAATTAGGACTTAATGACATTTTCTGAAAACTACAGCATTTGCATATTAGAACCTATGAACAAAATACACATGGGGTTTTATTTGGGATTCCAAGATAATTTTAGTCATAAAGTTTAGGAACAGATTATTCCATTGCTTTACTATTTCTCTGAGCATTTAAAAAATGTTACCTTGTTAAATCTTTATAACAACCTAGTGAAATAAGGCAGCAAAGTCCTCACTTTGTAGAAGAAGACATTGAGCCTAAGAGAAGAAATTTGTTCAAGAACAAATAGCTGTTCATTATGGAGCTAGGACTTATGCAGAGTTGGGACACTTTCTATAATGTCATGCTAATGCATGCTGATTTACTGGGTCACAGTGCCCTTGATTTATGAGCATTTCACCTAATTTTTTTTCTGCTTTAATTAGAAGCTTAAAGAAAAGTTTGTAGAATGTACTCATAAGTGTATGGGATAATACTGTTAAATTCTGATATTATGATATTGTTTGAAATACTCTAAGAATTTTACATTTGGTAAGTATTTTTTATATCAGTATTAAAATAGTAATTTGGTTTATTACATTTTTATACATAGAATTTGTGAATTACTTTCTGACTATAAAGAAAAACAGATGCTAAAAATCTCTTCTGAAAACAGCAATCCAGGTAAGACTTGTGATAATGAATTACTTTAGGTCAGTTGTCCACAATGTTTTTGGCAGCAGGGACCAGTTTTGTGGAAGACAGTGTTTCCATGGGCTGGGGGAAGGTGGGGATGGTTTCAGGATTATTCAGCCATGTTTCATTTATTGTGCTACTTTATATTATTATTACATCATAATATATAATGAAATAATTATACAACTTACTATAATGTAGAATCCGTGGAAACTCTGAGCTTATTTTTCTGCAACTAGATGGTCTCATCTGGGGGCAAAGTGAGACAGTGACATATCATCAGGCATTAGATTCTCATATGAAGCACACAACCTAGATCCCTCAGATGAGCAGTTCACAACAGGGTTCATGCTCCAATGAGTATCTAGTGCTATCACTGATCTGACTGGAGGCAGAGTTCAGGCGGTAATATGAGCCATGGGGTGTGGCCGTAAGTACAGGTGAAGCTTCCCTGGTTTGCCTGCTGCTCACCTCCTCCTGTGTGGTGTGGTTCATAATAGTCCATGGAGTGGTACCAGTCTGTGACCTGAGAGTTGTGGGCCCCTGCTCTGGGTGGTCCTACCGTAGATAAAAAAATAAAAGTAAGGAATTTTTGATCACAAAAGAACGCCAAAGCACAAGTCATGTTACATATCCTTGTCCCAACAAGGTCTCACTCTTACTGACTTCATTCCTCCTCATTTGAAGTTGGAAAGAGATACATTTACTTTGTTGGAACAAGATGTGTTCTTCTACCTGCTGGTCAATTGTCTTGATAACAGTAATTTTGTTAGAACAAGATGCTCTGCTACCATTTACCAAAAGATTGTCATAATAAATATACAAATTGCCCACTTCTAGGCTCAGCAGATTATAATAAAAGTAGAAAAATGTTTCACATTAACAAAAATACTAGTATGCCACCTGGTTGTGGACACCTAATACATTGTATAATCCAAACTGTATTAGGACACCTTTAATTTAGCCATCTATTTATCAAAAAGCTTCTGTAAGTTAGGTTTTATAAGTTGCAGGAGACAAAGATGGAATAGATGTAGTTTTGATCCTTAAGGTGCTCATAGTAGAGCTGTCTCTATTTCATTTCTGTGCTTTTTCAACAGAATTTACAAAGAAAACATTTCTATGTTTTCACTTGTCCACTTAACAAATAACTATTAAATGTCCTTTAGATACTAATCATTTTTCTAATGTTACAGAACACACACAATTAAAAATACAGACAGGAGCTTGTTATTATCATTGTCATTTTTATTATTTTACTACTTTATTCAGTGCTTACTGTGTGCTCGATGCCCACTGGAAGCTTATAATAATGATTTATTATATATTAATTATGTGCCAGACATATGTGATGAGGAATGAAAGTTTTGAAAAAAAGTAGGTATGATTCAAGGTAAGCATGCAGAGTGAGAAGAATTTTTCTAGGTAAAGAAGCAGAAGAATAATGTTTGGCAGAAGGAACATGCAACAAGATTGTGTGTTTGCCAGAAGAACATCTAATGAGGTTGCCTGTTTGGCAGGAAGAGCAGCAAGTGCAAAACGCAAGATGCTGAGTGAACCTTGCAGGGTTTCTGAGCAGTTCACTTTTGCTAGTACCAAAAGTGTGAGACACCAGAGGTTGGGAATAAGGTGAATACTTAGCTAAGGCAAGTTTATGATAGACTTTTTAAATACTATAGAAATGAGTAGGTCTTACCCTGTGGGCCACGGGAAATTTACCAGGTACAATGCTTTGGACTGTAAATACTAGATGAGCAGTGGCTAAAACAGTAGGAACCAGAGTTGTTTTGGTTGTTCAGTGATATCCTAGGATCCCACTTGTCCCTCTTTCAGCTGTGCTGTTGGCAGTGTTTTATTCATGTCTCCTTTCATGGTTGGCTAATCCGCAGCAGCTCCAAACATCTTGTTCTCACAACACAACATTTCAAGGGCTGCTTTTCTTCACATGTGTCTTTTAAACAGGGAGAAAACTTAGAAGCATGCAAGGGGCTTCCTGTAACATTCCATTGGCTGGGTCACACCACATGCTCATTCCCAAACCAGGCACTGGGAAGGCAAATACATGATTAACTTAGAATAAACATTTCTCTTTCTGAGGCTGAGGAGGGGGATTGGGATAATAAATATCCCAATAGACTTGTGTTTCTTCTGCAAGAAAGAATAAGGAATGGCTATTGATAGGGAGCCAACAATGTGTGCTGCAGGGGCTCATTGGAGAAATTTGAGCAGGGAAGTTACAAGATTAAATTTGAGTATTAAGGCATATTCTGCTTATGGTGTAAAATGGGTTAGCAAGCTTTTTCTGTAAAGGACCAGGTGGGAAATATTTTAGACTATGTGGTCTCTGTCATATCTACTTAACCAGGCTGTTGTCTGTTGTTGTAGTGTGAAAGCCACCATGATTATATGTAAGCAAACAGGCATGACTGAGCTCCTATAAAACTTTATTTACAAAGCCAAAAGGCAGACTGGATTTGGCCTGTGGCCTATAGCTTGCTGGGATTGAGGGAAGATAACCATGTAAAGAAACCAGGAGACAAAGGAAGCTTTTGCAGTAGTCAGCTATAGTTTCCATGTCACACACCCTTGGACTAGTATCAATGTATTCTAAGGTTTTCACCTGCCCATGGCAAAATAAAGTTTGGAATCTCAGTTACTCATTTTAATGTGTTGGCCTTTTTTTGGTGTTATGCTTTTTTCATTTGTTTTGCTTAATTTTTTTCATGTAAGAAATAACATTAATAGTTGGAAGGGTTGTTTGTAATAAAAGCCATTTTGTAAATGTTTATGTTCTCAGTGGCAGTGGTAATATAAAGCAGAGGAAGAAGAGAGGTATAGTCAATATGATTTAGTGATAATTGAATGAGAAAGGTTTGGGGGACAGAGAGAAATGTCAGATAATTTACAGGTTTCCACGTTGTACACTAGTATTTAACCTGGACATGAGGAAGGAGTAGGAAATTTTCTCCATGACCTGTGTGAGTCACAGCTTCCAGAAAAGAAAGAGAGCAAGGAGCATATTAAGGAAGCACAGCAAAGTCAGTCCTAGAGTGCCCTGCTTGACTTCATGTCATAGTTCTGACTTCTAAAAAATCATTTTCTGCAAAATGTGCTTTGTGTTTTTCCCCTCTTGCAGCCTGCAGCCAAACAGAATCCCTTTAGCAGGGCATTTTTCTGTTCTTCCTTTAAACAAAGCAACATATAAATAACAAAAAAGAAGTAAGAGAAAGAGTGTTTTTTGTATAGGCTAGCATTTAACTTAAACTTGAGAGCGAGTACTAGGATTATACTTAGAATTTATGGACTGGGTAGGAAGACTAGATAGAAATCTAAATATTGCTGACTCAAACACAGTGTGATTTTTTGCTTTATTGTCACAGCTCTGAATTCACAACTATTAGTTATATTCATATACACTATAACTTTATAAAGCACCTTCCCAAATATTAAGTGATTTATTATAATTTCTATGACTTATTATAGAATTGACTTTCCAAGTGTTCATGAGAATTATTAAGAATTTGCTACGTAGTATCATCTCAGCTGTGTCCACATGAGCTAGCTGTCACCTTGTCTTAATGAATAATGGCTCACTAGGAATATTGGTTTTGGCATTAAAATGATCTACATCTAAATACAGATAGGACCAGGGACCACTCTTGAACGTTAATGTCTAAGCATCTTAAAAGTACACATAAGGCTTTCATAATCTGACTTCTGCCCTACTCTACATCGTTAGCCCTTTTCCCTGTGTGCCCTTTCTCTGGCATTACTGAGTGGCTCTTAATGCCCTACTCACTCCTCCTTCTATTGCAGGCAAATACTTTCACTCTTTCAGGCCTCGCTCCTGCTCTTGCTGCTGTGTGGCATGCTGTCACCCTTTCTTGCCCTCTACCACTTTTAATCTAGCTAGCCTCAATATTTGAGTCTCTGCTTGGGCAGGTGTTCTAGAAAAGCCATCCCTGACAGGCTTTATTTTCATTCTTTTTAAACCCTAACACCTAGCATGTATGTAGCAGGTCTCAATAAGAAATTTCTGAGTAAAATAAAGACTGTTTTTACAAAGATGATGTGCAAGACTGTCCTCTGCAGTCTTGGAGTAGAGGGGACAGACCTGTGGAAGAATAATGTACAGTTCAGGTGGTAAAGGTGCAGTAGAAAAATCAGTGAGGTCCTAAGGCTACCTCAAGGAAGGAGTTACCTGTTTATCTGGGGAAAGATCTGCAGAATCAAGGAAGACTTCCCATAGCATTGTTTTAAAAGATGAAAATAAGGCTGGGTGTGGTGGCTCACACCTGTAATTGCAGCATTTTGGGAGGCTGGAGCAGGTGGATCACAAGGTCAAAAGATCAGGACCATCCTGGCCAATGGTGAAACCCCATCTCTACTAAAAATACAAAAATTAGCTGGGCATGATGGTGTGTGCCTGTAATCCCAGCTTCTCAGGAGAATGAGACAGGAGAATCATTTGAACCAGGGAGTCAGAGGTTGCAGTGAGCTGAGATTGTGCCACCGCACTCCAGCCTGGTGACAGAGCAAGACCCTGGCTCAAACAAAAAAACAAAAAAAAAGAAAAATGAATATAAATTTGTCATAATAGTGGATGGAAACATTTTAGATGTTAAGAAGACATTGTACACTAACAAAGGTGTCAGTAGTAATTTTGGAAATCATTTGTAAGATACTATTTTTGCAGAAAACAGGAGGCAGGAGAGACCCAGTGGGTCAAACAAGAGGATTGTATTTAGGTGCACACCAGCTCAGCGGATTTGCATCAAAAACCTGAGCCCTGAACAAAGACAGGGCTTGGCTTATATAGGCAAACTTACAGAAGCAGAACAAAGGCAGTTAATCATATAGTGACAGTTTTGCAACCACTGCATAGCTTGTGACCTTGCAGCTGCATTGAAGGAAAACAAGAATTTGCAAAATATATGCATTTGTAAAAATAGCTATGAATAAATGCTGAGGGGGAGGGGAGATGGTAAAGGAATTTGTTTTCTTAACTTTTCTCTGGGATGTCTGGAGCCCATACCTGTGGGCTCTGGCTTCTCAGACAGGGTAACCACGACCTTTCCTGGGCCCTGCCTGATACTATCCTTAGAGTCAGAGTAGCTAAGTGCAGGAAAACTTGTTTCTCTTTAAAACTAAATGTTCTTTTCTTTACATTTCCTGCTTCACTATTAGGAAGTGAACAACATACTGAGTTACCTTATATGTTTCTACTGTATTTTAAAGTTGTGTTTCTGGTGGTTTTGTTCATTTATGTGGGGTGGATGAATTTGTGAGTGAATCACATCAGGTGTCTCCCCAAGTGGTTTGTTGAAGTTTTGGAGAATTATTTCCTAAGTAACTATTTCATGAAAGACTAAACACTCAATTTATGAAATAAAATAAAATGCTGTCTTCAATCTGTTTTTATAAAGGCAATAGTTTTTAACTGTTCTAAGTGGTTCATCTTAACTGAATATATGGATTTCTCAACAGAACAAGACTTAAAGCTAACATCAGAGGAAGAGTCACAAAGGCTTAAAGTCAGTGAAAATAGCCAGCCAGAGGCATGGAAAATTTTAAATTTAAATTTTTGATTTAATGTTGTTTTCTTTGCTTTAACGATATTAGATAGTCCAAATGAAATTACCTTTCAGACTAGGTTTTAAGAATCAATAGATTCTTTTTTTAAGAATTTTTTAATAAGATTCTTAAAATTTATTTTAATAAATTCAGCAATCTCATTAACAGAAGAATCAATAAATTCTAATTTAACATTTGATATTTAGCTTAAAAACATAACCACTATAAAATTTAAAATACTCTTATTTTACAGTATTCTTATTTAAAATATTCTTATCTGCCTTTTTGATTAGCTTATAGCTAATCTTTCCTTTTGGAATAGAGGCAAAAACATATTCCAGACCTTTGTTTGTTCTTTTATTTTTACAACACCCTAACATGATAAAGTAACATCAATTATTGGATTATATTATTAAGCAATAGAACTATGAACAATGTAACACTGAAGGTCCCTGAGCTGGATTCATGGTTGAAGAATAATCACGGCCAGTGATTGAAAATCTGCAGTTTTATATTGTCAGTCACTGATACCAAGGTTAAAGACATATTCTGCCTTGTGGTCTCTCACTGACTTCAGCATTTCTGCTCAGGGAGGAAACCAGGTCATAAAAGCAACCCAACTGCCTATTACAAGAATCATATCTTGCAGAATGGGACATTTGGTGTTAGTGCACAAACACAATAACCTTCTACCTTATTTTAGTTGCAGAAAATCAGTACAGATTATTAAAAAAATTTTATCCACTATAATTAGTACACCTTAGAATATATTAGAACTGGACTTAAGCAGATCATCTAGATACATAACACTATCATATTACAGCATATAATTTCAATTAAAATTTAAGAATTTGCATTTCTTTCTGTTTGGTGTTGATTTCAGCTCCTAATAATTTAAAGCGTGCCTACAATCCAATTAGGAATCTTTTAAAAAAGCACTTCAGTGCACTACAAGGGCTCACTAGTTAGGGTTTCATGAGATACGCTCTTTTCAAGTGAGGAAGCCTTTGGAACACTACAAATCATCTGCTAATTCATTTTTGGTAGATTTAACACATAACAAATTAAGTTTAGTCCAAACAAATGGTAACAAAGTTAAGTTTGCTGGTTGATGTTTTTATTCTCCCTTTGTCTGAGGTGAATTATTTTTCACATGTTAGTCAGAAGCCAATGATGTGGCAGTAGCTAAACATAGATTAAAAAGTTAATTCTTAATTTTAATTATTTATTTATTTAATTATTTTAACAGTTAAATTTTATTTTATTTTCTAATTTTTCATGTCCATACTTGATTACTTAAGAATAAAATTATTTTAACATGCATTCCAAAAGAGGAGACATACATGGAAATACAACAAGCAAATTAACCTTCTATTTTTGCATCTGCAGAAAATGTCTCAAGAACCAGAAATAAATAAGGACTGTGATAGAGAGGTATACCTTTATGTTCAAATGTTTCTGTTGAATTAGATTTTTATGTTATGCTGTTTAACAAAGTGTAGTAAGTGTAGGCATACATGATCCTATCATGTAAGTAGCATAAATCACCAGTGAAAAATTTAATATTTGACTCAGAAAGAGTTCTGTACATTGAGTTTTCAAGAGATACAAACCCTAGAGAGATTCTTTCATTATTATGGAACAATCCTGAATGGTGCCATAAAATGCTAGGTAATGCCACTTTAGGAGCTTTGGACCAATCATTTTATCTTTCTTGGTTTTAGTCTGATTATCACTAGATAATGTGGCTAAAGAAGATAATTACTTATTCTTTGTAACTTCCAGCTGGAAAATTGTATAGCTATTGAATGTGAAATTTGGGGAGCATCTAATTTTCTGGAATTCCACGCTTGCACTTCAGCAGTTTCACTCTGCTCCTTGTGTTGTGGCAAACTTTGGTTTTCATGTTTCAGTGAGCACCATCATGTTTTTGATATCCAGGAACCAAACGAAAAAAGAACGATCAAAGGCAGTGGGGGAGGAGAATATCTTAGTGCAGAAAAGGGCCATCTTCCTTTCTATTCCTGAAGTCCCCCAGTGTCTCATCCTCTACATCTGAGTGTTTAATGTAAAATCTAGGTGGTAAAGACAGAAGACACATTTTGTGTCTATGTCGTTTTATTTTTGTGTTCCCACGAGTCAAATGGGGTAAATTCATATATAAGATTCTGAAGAGTTTTTGGGAATAAAAGCACAAAATGAAGGAGGGCCCTTTTTGAATTTTGGAAAATTCTGTTTTATTCAGTCAAACAGCAATCAAGAAGACTTTACAAAAATTTCAATGATATACTAATGACATGATAATTACATCTTAAAATTATACGGTAATAGTTCTGTATATATGATCAAATTTAAGTGTGAGATATTTTTAATGACTAAAATAATGGCAAACTGAGTCAATTGATAAAATCAATTAAAAAGGTTATTTTTATTCAATAAAGTGATAACCATCCTTAATATCAAACTTCCACTCAAGGTTGAAGAAGAAATAAAGAAGCATGGAAGTAATCCTGTGGGATTACCAGAAAACCTGACTAATGGTGCCAGTGCTGGCAATGGTGATGATGGATTAATTCCACAAAGGAGGAGCAGAAAACCTGAAAATCAGCAATTTCCTGACACTGAGAATGAAGAGTATCACAGGTAAGCCTATGGCAACATTTAATAGGAGATAACTATATGCTGTCAAACTAATCCTAATTTGGGCTAATATTCATGATGAACAAATTTTATACTTTTACTAGAATATTCAGCCTTGCCTGTTAATCAGAAAAATGAAAATCAGTAAACAATGAGTTACTGTTTTTTCCAGTCATTAATTTATTTGAAAAATAACCAGCATTGGCAAATGTGAGGGAAAAGGCATTTTCTTTTCTTTTTAATGAACTTTTATTTTAGCTTCAGAAGTTCATGTGCAGGTTTATTATATAGGTAAACTGTATCATGGAGGTATGGACTACAGATTATTTCATCAGCCACATAATAAGCAAAATACTCGAGAGGTAGTTTTTTGGTCGTCTCCCTCCTGCCACACTCCACCCTCAAGTAGACCCTGGTGTCTGTTATTCTCCTCTTTGTGTCCATGAGTTCTCATTGTTTAGTTTCCACTAATGAGTAAGAAGAATATGTGGCATTTGATTTTCTGTTCCTGCATTAGTTTGCTTAGGATAATGGCCTCCAGCTCCATGTGTGTTGCTGCAAAGGAAATGGTCTCATTGAAAAAGACATTTCATACACTGTTGGTAAATACATTTTGAACATTAATTTAGTAGCATATTCACACACATATATATAACATAGTAAGGATATGTAGGTATGTTAAGGATATTTGTATAGATTTGTCACATATATACTTATGTGTAAGGACATTCCTTACAGCATTATTATATAAAAAGATGGATCCTTATCAATAGGAATTTATCATTATCAAAAGTAAATCCTTACCAATAGGAAATAGCTCAATTTTCATACCCAGAAAATAATGCAGTATGCAACCATTTTTTACAAATGAGGTTAGATCTAGAGTATACTGATTATTTCACAATTAAAATGTATTTAAAGCATTTAGTTTGGTAACACATCTTAAGATAATTTTGTTAGAATTCTTGTAATATCTGCTGTGTTGCAAATGGAAGCTACACGCTACATGGACACTGTACCTTGTTAGCAACAAGATTGCTAGTTATTAAATTTTTGTTGTCAGTGCCTGAGTGCCGAAATATTGGACCTTCAATCTGAATATTGCCAAGGGATTGTACATGGGGATCTATATTTAATATAAACATTTGAGTATATTGGGTGAAACTTTTATTAAAATATATCAAAGTATCTTTCATCTGCTAAACCAGGAGCTGGCCAGCTTTTTCTGCAAAGAGCCATTTAGTAAATATTTTAGGCTTTGTGGACTATATATATTTATTTTTTTTGAGACAGGGTCTCTGTTGCCCAGGCTGGAGTGCAATTGTGTGATCACAGCTCACTGCAGCCTTGACTTTCTGGGCTCTAGTAATCCTGCCACCTCAGCCTTTCTACTGGCTAGGACCCCAAGTGTGCAACATCACACCCAGCTAATTGACTCTATGGACTGTAAAGTGAATAAGCATGGCTGTGTTCCAAGATTCTTTACTTACAAAAACAGGCAGTGGGCTGGATTTGGCCCACAGGTGCTAATTTGCTGACCCGTGTGCTAAAAGGAAGGTGCTGCTAATGCAGTAACACTTATTTGTAAAAGTGCCCTGCATGTGTGACATTATCTTTCCTTTGAGAAAAGGATATATTTCAGTATTCACCTCACCATATTTTTCCACAGTGATGTCATATAATTTTTAAAATTTCATTTGTAAAATAAGATTATTTTCTGCATTTCTGCCACTTTATTCCTGTTAATAGAACTCAGTATTTTACAGTGATCAATTACTTTGTATATTTGATGAGTATCAACTGTCCTAGAATTGGCTGATTTTTATCAAGCAAGAAGTACTCTCATTGAAGCTTTTAGTTTTTCTTGGTCTTTATGTATAAGCATGAACAAAATAATAATCAGCTTCTGTAATCTAGAAATGGTCAAGGCAACTTTTAGTTCTATAGTTTTAAGAATTTAACACCTTGGTCTGGCATTTTTAATGCCAAATGTGTATAATTTTTATAAGCTTTAAAATATGTAATTGTTATATAAAATTTGAAAACTACACCTGTTATGTAAAATTTGAAACTATTTGTCTATTACTTTTCCATGACTGTGGAAGAAAATTACAACATTCTCAGCCATGACTCCTAAGTATGATGTCCTTAAAAGAACTGTCTACACTCACGAACTCAAATTTTTTTTTCATTCACTCTTGATCTCATGCCAGTAAGTCTTCAATTTCAGCAGTCCTCCAACGTTTTTCCTCAAGATTATCACTAATTTTTTTCTGTAATAAATCTAGGCACTTTTCTTCCACCTCATTTTATTTAATCTGTCAGCAATATTTGAGGCAATGGAGGACATCTCCTCCCTAACGGCGTCTTCACTTGGCTTTCAGGACCTCACTGCCTCAGGCTTTTCCTCCTACCTTTCTAGTCCATTCATCATGTTCTGTTTTGCTTGCTCCTCCTCATCTTTCTCCTTTTGGACATTGTTGTTTCCCAGGGCTCACTCCTCAATCTTCTTTCTTGTGACTTTTTCTTTTTCTTTTTTGGAGACAGAGTTTCGCTCTGTCACCCAGGCTGGAGTTCAGTGGTGTGATCTCGGCTCACTACAACCTCTGCCTCCTGGATTCAAGCAATTCTCCTGCTTCAGCCTCCTGAGTAGCTGGCATTACAGGTGCATGCCACCATGCTCAGCTGATTTTTGTATTTTTAGTAGACACAGCATTCCCCCATGTTGGCCAGCCTGGTTTCAAACTCCTGACCTCAGGTGATCTGTCTGCCTTGGCCTCACAAAGTGTTGGGATTACAGGTGTGAGCCACTGCACCCGGCCCCTCATGACTTTTTCTACTGTGTATATGCTAGTGATTTCCAAATGTATGTCTCCAGCTCAGATCTCTCTCCTTAATTCCAGATTTCTATATCAGCCTGCCTACTTGACATCTCTATTTGGTTAGTTATTGGGTATCACACACTTGTCAGATCCAAAATTGGGCTACTGATGTCCTTCCTGAAAGCTAAACCTCATGTAGTCTTTCCTACTTTGGTTAAGGGCAACTCTTCCAGTTGCTCTGCCAAAAATCTTGGTGTCATTCTTGACTCATCTCTCTCTCTCTCTCTGACACCTCACATCTAATCTCTCAGTAAATCTTGTCAGGTCTACCTGAAGAATATGTCCAGAAGCCAGTCATATCTCATACATCTGAGCCACCCTCATCTGCAGTCTAGATGAGTGTCATAGACTGGGAATTGATAGTCCTGGTTTTTAAAAACTTCCCTTTTCATCAATTCTTAACTCAGTGGATGTATTTAAAACATAAGTCAAATTGTTTCATTCCTCTGCCCCAGCCCTTCTGATTATCTCCCATTTCACTCGGAGTACATGTCAAAGTTCCTCCTAATTATCTCCCTTGCTCTGCTTCAGCCACACTGAATTCTTGCCATCCCTTATCTACCCCTAGTGCTTAAAGATGCCAGGCACACCTCTGTGATTCGCAGTTCCCTGTGTCTGGAATGCTTTTTCCCCAGATATCCTCCTAGCTTTCTCTTTCCATTCCTTCAGTTCTTTATTTAAAACCCCCTTTCTAAGAAGAAGAGGAAAAAGGGTAAAAAGAAACACATTAAGGAACAACCACTTTCTGAGGAAGAACGGTGTGCTACCCAGACGCGTCATGCTTAAGGTTCAATTGGGTGCCTACCAGGGATGCTCTCTAACGTAACGAAGGGAAGGTTCAGTGAAACAAAGTGATTTATCATCTCTAACTTCAAACCCATTTGTATCTTGACATCAACGCTGTTAACCTTATGTCATCATTTCTTAGAGACTTTTATATACAAATAAAAGGTTTTTTGTATTAGAAAAAAAAAATCCCCTTTCTCAGCAGGGACTTCTCTGACCATCCCAACTTTCCCACCACCCTCCCCATCAAACACATAAACATTTCATTTTCCTGCTTTAGTTTTTCTCCTGTAACATCCTGTATATTTTGCCTTATCTGTCTGTTGTTATTGTGTGTTTTTCTCACTCTCATGAATAGGGTTTTTATTTTTCACTACAATATCCTCACTGCCTAGAAAAAGGCCTAGCATATTGGATGAAGCTACCTAATAAATACTTATTAAATGAGTGAATGGAGTTTATCCTGGATATATTGTTTGATTAATTCTCACTTTAAAAATGTTTGACATGGTTCATTCTAACAGTTTTGCCCGGTAATTATGTGCATTTTTAAAATTGTTTTGGCTTTTTATAATAAGCTACATTCTTTATATTAATTTTTTTATTTAGAGAGAAAAGCCCAATATTGTGGTTATTCACTATTTATTCTTTTACTAGTAATCATAATTGTAATTATGGCAAACTGAGTCAGAGGAATTGCAAAGTTTACTGGTATTTTATTTTATTTTGAGATTGAGTCTCGCTGTATCCCCCAGGCTGGAGTTCAGTGGTATGATCTCAGTTCACTGCAACCTCCACCTTCTGGTTCATGCATTTCTCCTCCCTCAGCCTCCCAAGGAGCTGGGATTACGGGGGCATGCCACCATGCCCGGCTAATATTTGTATTTTTAATAAAGATGGGGTTTCACCCCGTTGGTCAGGCTGGTCTCGAACTCTGTACCTCAGGTGATCCACCCACTTCGGCCTTTCAAAGTGCTGGGATTACAGGCATGAGCCACTGCGCCTGGCCACTAGTATTTTATTTTAAAAAAAAAAAAAATTAGGGTGGCACATTTAATGGACTTGAAAATTCTTTTCAAGGGATTATGAACCTTTGGTATTTGAAATAAAGAGACAGAGTTGGAATTTTTGCTTCCTATAGTAAGAGGAATACTGGTCAGGCACTGTCTATTCTGATGGAGCAGGTACTGCTGCGTGGCTGTATTTCAGAAGCAAGCTGCTCACATTGATATTGGTTGGTGAGCAAGAGCAGTGGTCATTGATTGACTAGATTTCAAACTGGCTTTGGGTGGCTTCTTGTTACCATTGGTACAAGTCATTTCTTTCATAAGTTAGAGTCAACTTTAACTGAAAATTTTCTGTATAAAAGTTGCCTTCAATTAACTATGTTCAAAATGAAACTATTTTATATTCCAGAATTGTAGACTTCATTTTAAAATTTTGGTCAAGGTGAATTGGTTAATAACAGCTCTCAGGAATATCTGTTTTCTTTTTAAAAAAATACATATTTCTCTGTATAATTTATTCCTTAAAATTAATTATTTTCTTTCTGTTTTTGGTATTTTTAGAAGCTTTTGCTCAAGTCCTAACATAATCTCCAGTAGGAGATTTTAGTCTCTTTGTCAGTTCATGTATGTATATGGTAGTGATACTCTACTCTCTTTTTAAATTCCTTTTCTTGTTCACTTTCTTCTCAGTACAATAACGGTGATATTCTTATACAACTTTACCTCATTTAAAAGTAATTACAGTTTGCTGCTGGCAAATTCAGCTTTTTATATTTTGACTAAATACTAGGCTAAAAGTGAAGAAAATTTACCAGGTCATTTTATTTTCAAACAAAATCATTACTAATAAAAATTGCTATCTTTGAAATATAAATAATGACATTTTGATATTTTAAAAGTAAGGATACACCCCCCCCCAGTAGTTTGGCTTTGTGTTTCCACCCAAATCTCATGTCAAATTGTAATTCCCAGGTGTTGAGAGAAAGACCAGCTGGGAGGTATTGGATCATGGGGTCGGTTTCCTCCATGCTGTTCTCGTGATAGTGAGTTCTCACAAGAGCAGATAATTCTATAATGGGCTCTTTCCCTTTCACTTCTCTCTCTCCTGCCACCTTTTGAAGAAGTTGCCTGCTTCCCCTTTACCTTCTGCCATGATTGTAAGTTTCCTGAGGCCTTCCCAGCCATGTGTAACTGTGAATCAATTAAGCCTCTTTCCTTTATGAATTACCCAGTCTCAGGTATAGGTATATATATATATATATATATATATATATATATATATAAAATTTTCTTTATTCCACTCATCAGTTGATGGACACTGGCTGATAACATATCTTTGCATATGTGAATTGTGCTGCAGTAAACATATGTATATAGGTGTCTTTTTGAGAGTATGATTTCTTTTGTTTTGGGTAGGTATCCAGAAATGAGAATGCTGGATAGAATGGTAAGATCTACTTTAACAGAACTCTCCATAATGTTTTCCATAGATTTGTACTAATTTGTATCCCCACCAGCAGTGTATAACTCTTCTTTTTTCACCACATCCACACCAACATCTGCTGTTTTTTTTATTTTAGTAGTGACCATTCTGGCTGAAGTGAGGTGATATCTCACTGTTGTTTTATTGTACCCTGATGATTAGTAATATTTAGCATGTTTTTATATTCTTGTTCACCATTTGTACATCTTCTTTTGAGCAATGTCTATTCATGTCATGTGCCCACTTTTTAATGGAATTATTTGTATTTTTCCTGCTGATTTGTTTGAGTTTCTGGTAGGTTATGGACATTAATCCTTTGTTAGATTCATAATTTGCCCATATTTTCCCCATTGTATAGGTTGTTGGCTCACTTTGATGATTATTTCTTTTGCTGTGCTGAAGCTTTTTAGTTTAATTAGGTATTTATTTATTTATTTATTTATTTGTTTATTTATTTTTATTTTTGTTGCTTTTGCTTTCAGGGTCCTCATCATAAATTATTTGCCTAGGCTAATGTCTTCAGGTCTTAGGTTTAGGCCATTAATCCATCTTGAATTAATTTTTTTACATGGTGAGAGGTAGAGATCCAATTTTATTCTTCTATATGTGACTATCTTTTTTTCCCAGCACCATTTGTTGAATAACGTGTACTTTCTCCAGTGTATGTTTTTGTATCCTTTCTCAGAGATCATTTGGTTGTAAGTGGCCTTTTTTCTGAGTTGTCTATTCTGTTCCATTGATCTGTGTATCTACTTTTATACCAGTACCATGATGTTTGTTACTGTGGCCTTAGAGTATAATTTGAAGTCAGGTAATGTGATGCCAACATGTTTGTTCCTTTTGCTTGGTATGTCTGTTGCTATTCAGGCTCTTTTGTGGTTCTACATGAATGGCAGCTTTTTAAAATAACTCTGTGAAGAATGACATTGGTACTTTGGTAGAAACTGTATTGACTCTGTAGACTACTTTGGGCACTATGGCATTTTCACAATATCAATGCTTTCAGTCCAGGAACATAGAATGTATGTTCATTTATTTGTATCATCTGTGATTTTCTTCAGTGGTGTTTTCCAGTTATCCTTTGATAGATGACTCACCTCCTTCATTAAGTATATTCCTAGGTATTTTGCTGTTTTGCAGCCATTGTAAAAAGGATTGGATTCTTGATATGACTCTCAGCTTGGTTGTAGTTGGTGTATAGTGGTACTATTCATTGGTATTTGTATATTTTGTAACCTCTGAGACTTTACTAAATTCATTTATCAAATCTAGGAGTGTTTTGTAGGAGTCTGTAGAGTTTTCTAGGCATAAGATCATATCATTGCTGAAGAGAGAGTTTGACTTTCTCTTTTCCAATTTGGATGCCCTTTATTTCTCTTGCCCAATTGCTCTGCCTTAGGGCTTCCCAGTTTTCTTCTTAATATGCATGAAATAAAAGTAAAATTGAAAGCGATTGTTGATCAGTTTATTTCACATCTCTCTCTCATACACAGATAAAATGAATTCAAAGTTCTATGTTAAAAACACAATATTAGACCCTGTCTTGTTCCAAAGGGAATTTCTAAGTTGTCTATAAATTACAGAGGAATCAAGAATATAAGTGGAAACTGTTTCCAAAAAATAAACATAAAAAGTTTGGGTTGACACAGGGGTTTCCAATCCCCAGGCCACAGACCAGTACCAGTCCCTGGCCTGTTAGGACCTGGGCCACACAGCAAGAGGTTAGTGGTAGGGAGCAAGTGAAGCTTCATCTGTTTACAGCCACTCTCTGTCACTCACATTACCTTCTGAGCTCCTCCTCCTGTCAGATCAGCGGTGACATTAGATTGTCATAGGAGTGTGACTTGAACCCTATTGCAAGCTGCTCATGCATGGGATATAGGTTGTTCACTCCTTATGAGAATCTAATGCTTTATGATCTGTCACCATCTCCTGTCACCCCTAGATGAGACCATCTAGTTGCAGGAAAACAAGCTGAGGGCTCCCACTGATTCTACATGATGGCGAGTTATATAATTATTTCATTATATATTAGTAATAATAGAAATGAAGTGCACAATGTATGTAATGTGCTTGAATCATCCTGGAACCATCCCCCACCTCAGGTCCATGGAAAAATTATCTTCCACAAAACTAGTCCCTGGTGCCAACATGACTGGGAGAGCAGGGTTAACAGATGTGAGACCCCTTTGTCTTGTCTTGGATTAATGTGCAGATATGCATTGTGTGAATGACATCTGATGGTGCCATCTTGCCCTGTAGATCATTTTAGGGACACCTCCAGTATTTCATGAAAATTAAAATTTCTTCTAGTGACGAACAAAATGATACCCGGAAACAACTTTCTGAAGAACAGAACACTGGAATATCACAAGATGAGATTCTGACTAATAAACAAAAGCAGATAGAAGTGGCTGAAAAGAAAATGAATTCTGAGGTATTTTCTTTAGTCATTTTCAAATGTTTTCATATGTGTATATATTTTTAAAAAGCTTTATTTTGGAAGGTATAAAGGATTTTTAAATCACATATATACACACGTGTGTGTGTGTGTGTGTGTGTATATATGTAAACACACACCCTGTATATCCTTGGTCATATATCTATATATGTACATATAGGATAAAGCCATGTTCTTAATTCAACTGCATTTGCCTGCAACAGTCGAGTAGTGACCTTCACAATGGCCTCAATCCAAAGGAAAAGCATTTGATATTTTTCATAAGAATTGATTATCTTTCCAATATCAAAAATAAGTTTTGCTACTAACAACAGATTTGCTAGTTTTGGGACATTCGTTCTTTTTAAAATATTAATAGAGAAGTCAGTTTGTTATTTTCACTAATAGGAAAGTAGGAAATGTACAGCTGGGTCAGAGGCCACATTGTGGATGTCATTATCCTTGCTTTTGAGGAGAGGAACAGTTTGCTCCGAGTAGTTTCTCATTTCAATGCAAAGAGCTTTGAAAACAATGACATGCCATGATACACATTTAGTGATAATTTATTGATAAGTATTTTGTTCCCAGATGAATAGTTGAGTATGTTTCCCCTATTTCACACTTACTACTATAATGTTTCAAACATTATAAAGAGGAAAGAAAAGTTATTGCAATGGCAAATAATCTCATGATTTCTAAGAAAAGCCTTGTAAGTTATATCTTATTTACCATTTGTATTTTGAAATAAAAGGCTTCTTTTGTATTTATATATTTACACTACAGAAGCAACTGTGATTTTGTGGAGGATCACTAGCAGTAGCATCAGAAGACCTGGCAAAAATCCTGCACGTTGCATATATACGTGTGTGTGTGTGTGTGTGTGTATTCTAGATGGAGTCTTGCACTGTCACCCACGCTGGAGTGCAGTGGCACAAACTCAGTTCACTGCAACCTCTGCCTCCCAGGTACACACGATTCTCCTGCCTCAGCCTCCTGAAGTGCTGGGATTACAGGTGTGAGCCACTGGTCCTGGCTGCATATATTTTTTGACCTCTCCTTTTAAGAATCGTGATCCTAAATGAGTTGAGTGTTGTAGGTAGAAGTGCAATGCTTAGACGCAGATGTGTACATTGTAGAAGGGTACAATGCTTAGATTTAACAGTTATGAATAAATGTAATGCT
The DNA here is from genome assembly GCF_000001405.40 of Homo sapiens. Lineage (NCBI taxonomy): Eukaryota > Metazoa > Chordata > Mammalia > Primates > Hominidae > Homo > Homo sapiens. The sequence continues at coordinate 14,512,476 of NC_000018.10, read as the reverse complement.
TACAACTGACTGTAAAAATATTAGGACAGCAGTATATTGATAAAACATTCCTCAGAAAAAGGAACTTAAAGAACTTTGAGGAATTGCTTCTGTCCTAATATACGCATAGCTAAGGCTCTTATGATGGTGTGGTTTATAGGTTAGATATCAGAGTGTAAACCCAATTTAAAAAATGTAGCCAAATGTATTAATCTTCTATTTTATGCCTCTGGGTTTTTTGTAATTCAGAGAAAGGCTTTTCCAATTCTGAAATTCTTAAAAATCCTCTAGTGATTTATTTTTCATGGTCTTTAGATAAATATTTCAACTTTTTGGAATTTACACTCTTTTAGATTTGAAGTTTTGTCCAACTTTTTTCCAGTTAAATATCCACTATGGGAATTATTTCATTATACAAATATAAATGTCATTCTTTAATTTTAGAAGAAATCATGATATGTCATTCTATTGAGTGCTAACTAAAAGTTCCCTTTGTTTACTTAGCTTTCTCTTAGTCATAAGAAAGAAGAAGATCTCTTGCGTGAAAACAGCATGTTGCAGGAAGAAATTGCCATGCTAATTTCTGGAGACTGGAACTAGATGAAACAAAACATCAGAACCAGCTAAGGGAAAATAAAATTTTGGAGGAAATTGAAAGTGTGAAAGAAAAGACTGATAAACTTCTAAGGGCTATGCAATTGAATGAAGAAGCATTAACGAAAACCAATATTTAAGTACAGTGGACAGCTTAGGATTTTGACAACTGAGAATGCTCAGTTCTGAACTGGAGAATGTAAGACACAGCTAGGAAACACTGGAAATGGAAATTCAATCATGTCATTGTAGACTGACTACTGCTCTACATGATTGTGATCAAAGTCAGATAGCTGAAAGGGACTTCTTTCCAGAGAACAAACATGAACAGGTTTATTTACAGGAGAAAATGAATTCTCATATATCTCACCTAAAAGATAACAGTGAGATTCTTTCTGAACAACTCTAACGCTGACAGTAAAATTAACAACCTAAAAATTAAGCTCCATCACACAGGATAAATTCTGAGAGAAAAGATGAGGCAGGCCACCATCTTTCCTGTTTGGGCAACTTAGCGATTCCAGCGTGCGGGCTTTGGAGAGTACAAACCCACCAGGGGCAGAAGAGATCCTGTGGCATAGCACAGCTGCTTTACCAAATCATGTCCAGAATGCTTCTGTAAGCAGGCCTCTGATCCTGTTCCTCGTCACTGGACAGGATCTCCCACCTGAGGCCTCCAGCTACACCCACCAGTGTTCCCTGGCCAATGGAGATTTGAAACCTTCCTGGGACAGAGTTCCCAGAGAGAGGGGTGGGCCATGACCTTTGTTGTTTGGGCAACTAGCCCTTCTGGCCTGTGGGCTTTGGAGAGCCCAAGCTGACCAGGGGTGGAAGTGGTACCTCAGCACAGAACAGCCACCCTGCGAAAACGTGGCCAGATTCTTGTTTAAGCCAGTCCCCAACCACATTTCTAATCACTGGGTGGAGCCTTTCAACCAGGGTCTCCAGCCACCTTCACTGCTGTTCTCTGGCTCACAGAGGTTTCAGGCCTCCTGAGTCAGAGCTCCCAGGGGGAGGACCAGACTGTCATCTTTGCTGTTTGGATGACTCAGCCAGTTCAGTCTTAGAGTTTCAGAGTGTCTGAGGAGACCAGGGGCTGAAGTGAACCCCCCACACAGCATAGCCACTCTACAAAAACGTGGCCAGACTTCTTT